>NC_000018.10:47621244-47921911 GCF_000001405.40 Homo sapiens
GAACTGGCTTTGATCTGTGGGTGTTTCCAGTGCTGCTGTACTGCAGTGTAGGCAGCAGAACTCTGGAAGAGGTGCTACTGTCTTTCTGGTCAGATGATTAGGAAAAGGGCCCCAGAGAGCTGGAGGGCATGGGAGAATTCCCTTTGTTTCTTTTTTTCCTCTCCTGGCCCCTCACCCTAAGGACAGCCGTTGTCTCAGAACTGTACTGCAAGGTGGTGGCAGCTTGAGTATCTAAAATTCCAAAAGAAAATCCTTCTGGTAAGGAGAACAGGGAGACTATGGTCCTGTATTCTAAAAAGCATAAAGAAAATCCCATTCCTTTATCTCTTCTTGCCCCAAGGGCATCTTGTTTCAGAGAACTGTGTAGTATCATGGAGCAGATGAAGCTCTGAGACATTCTGTGTCCCTCTAGCCAGAGGGGTGGGAAAAGTGGCCACTTGGAGGAAGCAGGAGGATATGGTGGAAGCTCCACAGCAGAGAGAGCTGAATAAAAGAACGCCACCAATTATGTGTCTAAACTGATAAAAGTCTTGGACTTCACCATAAGCTGCACAGGTACAGAAGAAAACAAAAGCAAGATAACAAAGAATGTCAGAACTGAATATAGGCCAACACCAAGTCCCAGACTAACCCCCAAGAAGCTCACACATGAGGAAGACCTAAGGCAGATGTGAGAACCAAACTGACATCAGCACTTCCTCCCACAGAAAGTGAGACAGAACTTATGGAATGAACCTAACTGGTTTGATTGACTGCCAAGACAAGAAAACTCAAGGTTCTCCAGAGGATTTTTAACATGACCCAGAGTCACACCATAAAAACCCAAAACCAGAATTACTTAACATAGGGAAAACCAGGACAATGTGATCAATTCTCAAGGGAAAGATAGTTAACACACACCAATGACAAGATACACAAATGTTGGAACTATCCGACAGAAACTTGAAAGTAGCTATTATAATCACGCTCTTGAAAGAATAGAAAGAGAAAAGTTATCAATACAGAAAACTATTTTTAAAAGCCAAATGAAAATCTTAGGACTGTGTAACACAATATCTGAAATGAACAACCCACTGTGTGGGTTCAATTGCAAAATAGAGATGAGAGAGGAAGGAATCAGAGAACTTGAAGACAAATGAATAGAAATTATCCAATCTGAAGAACAGAAAGAAAAATAATTGACAAAAAAATGAACAAAGCCTCAGGAACCTCCAGAACACTATCAAATTGTTGACATTTGTGTTATTAGAGTCCTACAAGAAAAGAAGTAGAACAAGATTGTAGCAGAAAAAGACTATTTGAAGAAATAATGTTTGAAAACTGCCCAAATTTGATGAAAGACATAAATTTATAGATTCAAATTCAGTGAACCCCCCAAACAGGATAAAATCAAAGATAACCACACCAAACATATCATAATCAAACTATGGAAAACCAGAGATAAAGAACAAAAATTCTGAAAACAGCCACAGAATCATGGTACATTACATGTAGGGGAAGCAGAATTTGAATAAGTACAAATTTCCATTAGAAACTATGGAAGTCAGAAAACAGTGAAACAACATATTTAAAGTACCGAAAGAAAAGAACTGTCAACTCAGAATTCTCACTGAAAGCATCCTTCAGGAATGATGGTGAAATAAATATATTTGCAGACAAAGGGAAATCTGTTAAGTGAATTCATTATCAGCAGACTTACTCAAAAAGAAATGCTTAAAAACAAGAAAGTTGTTCAGGCTGAAGGGAAATAATACTAGAGGGAAACACGGAACTTCAGAAATGAAGGAAGAGCAACAGAAATGGAAAATGTTTGGGTAAATATAATAGATTATTTTATTTCCCTTAGGTTATTTAAAATATGTATGATTATTAAGCACAGAGCATAACATTGCCTGGTAGGTTTTCAACATATGCACCTGTAGCACATGACAAGCATATGTTAAAGGTGGAAAAAGTAAAAATATCTATGTGGTTGTAAGAGTTCTATATTTTATTTGATGTTATAATATGTTCACTCTGTACAGACTGTGAAATGATATCAATATAGTAACCCCCAAGACAACACTAAACAAAAAGAATGCAAAGAGATACAGTCTAAAAGGCAATAGATAAGCCAAAATGGAATGCCAAAGATATTCAAATCACTTCAAAGGAGGTAGAAAAAGCAGAAGAAAGGAACAAAGAAACAAAGAGAGAGAACAAATAATAAACTGTAGACTTAAAGTCAGTCACTTCAATAATTAGATGAAATGTAAATGAATTAAAAGACAGCCATCATCAAATTGGATAAAAAATGAAGACACAACTAAATGCTGTCCAAAAGAAACCAATTTAAACAAAAAAAATAAATAGGTTAAAAATAAAAGTATGGGAAAATCTATACCATATGAATACTAATCAAAAGAAAGATAGAGTGGCTACATTTGAATCACACTAAAAAAGACTTCAGAATAGTAAAATTTCCAGGGATGAAGAGGAATATTACATAATTACAAAAGGGCCATTGTCAAGAAAATGTATATCCTAAATGTATGTACACCTAACGGCAGAGCTTCAAAATACATGAAGCAAGAACTGACAGAGATTAAAAATAAGCAGACAAATTCAAAGGTATATTTGAAGACTTTAATATTTCTTTCAGTAATCTACAAGCAAGTAAATAGAAAGTCATCAACAATATGGAAGAACTAAAGAACTCTGTTAACCAACTTGACCTAGTTGATATTAATAGAACAGCTCATTAAAAAAAAATAACAGAATATACATTCTTTTCAAGTGTACATGAAACGTTCTCCAATATTGATGGTTCCTCGGATAGTAAAATAAATTTTAACAAATTTAAAAGAATTGAAATCCTACAAAGTATGTTCTTTGACCATAGTGGAATTAAACCAGAAATTAGTCATAGGAAAATATCTGGAAAATCCCCAAATATTTAAAAATTAAACAACACACTTTAAAGTAACCCATGGGTCAAAGCAGAGGTGTCAAGGAAAATTAGAAATTATTTCAAACTGGAGGAAATGAAAATACAACATTTTAAAATTTGTGAAGTGCAGCTAGACAGTGCTTAGAGGAAAATGTATATCATTAAATGTTTAGAAACAAAAAGGGGTCTCAAATCAATAGTCTAAGCCAGTGGTTGGCAAACTACAGCCTGTGGGCTCCAACCTATCACCTCTTTTTATAAATAAAGTTTTACTGGAATATAGCTATGCCCATTCGCTTACTTATTGTCTATGGCTCCTTTATTTCTAAGAGGCCAGCATTACCCTAATATCAAAACCAGACAAAGACACTACAAGACAAGAAAACTATAGACCAATGCCTACAAACAACCAAAATTCTAAACAAAATTTGTCAAATCGAAGTCCAGCAATAAGGCTGGGCACGATGGCTCACGCCTGTAATTCCAGCACTTTGGGAGGTTGAGGCGGGTGGATCACTTGAGTTCAGGAGTTCAAGACCAGCCTGGCCAACATAGTGAAACCCCAAAATTCTACTAAAAATACAAAAATTAGCCAGATGTGGTGACACACACCTGTAATCCCAGCTACTCAGGAGGCTGAGGCAGGAAAATCACTTGAACCCAGGAGATGGAGGTTGCAGCAAGTCAATATCGCACCACTGCACTCCAGCCTGGGCTACAGAGTGAGACTCTGTCTCAAAGAATGATAATAATAATACATTATGAATAAGTAGTATTTATCCCTAGAATGCAAGTCTAAGCCAACATTTGAAAGTCAATTAATGTAACTCACCATATTAATAAATGAAAGAAAAAAACATGATCATCCCAATAGGTGTAGGAAAAGCATCTGACAAAAGAAGAGAACTTTCTTAACTTGATAAAGGGCAACTCTACAAGGTGATACTGCTATATACCCATTATATGCTAAAATAAAGGGAACTTGCAATACTAAGTGCTTGTGAAGATGTGGAACTCCTGAAATTCTTAACCATTGCTTATGAGAATGCAAAATGATATATCCCATCTGATAAAGAGTTTGGTAGCTTAAAAAAAAATAAAGTTAGCCATACACTTATCATACAACTCAACAATCAGTTATTTATCCAACAGAAATAGGAACATTGGTTCACAGAAAAACATGTATGTGAATGTTTGTAATGGCTTTGCTCATAATTAATACCCAAACCTAAAAGCAAGCCTTTAAGTAATGAATGGATAAACAAATTGTGAAACATCCATACAATGGGATACTACTCAGCAGTAAAGAGGAATACATTATTAATACAGGAATCAACATGAATAAAGCTCAAATGCACTCTGTCAAGTGAGGGAAGATAGACTCAAAAGGCTGCATATTCTACAATTCCACTCATATGACATTCTGGAGAAAACCAGGCTGTAAAAACAGACTGGAGGTTGCCAGGGCCTGGAGGTGGGAAAGCAGTTGACGCCAAAGGAAAATTTTGGAGATGTGATAGCCATGTTTTCTATCTTTGTTGTGGTTACCTAACTCTAGGCATTTGTAAAACCTCAGAACTATACACCAAGAAGAATGCATTTTACTTTATGTAAAGTAAGAATAAGTAAAATTAAAATTAACACATGCAAATAGAACAGTATCTAACATTATGAAAATATAGAATTTTTTTTAAAAATCGGACTGCTTGGAAAATCAGTGTTTAAACATAAATGGTTACTTAGAAGAACTATATCATATTTTACATTGCTTATAGCCATTCATTGCTTAGTCCATGACTAGTTAATCATATTATTTGAAAGAAAAGATGGTTCTTGAGAAAAGGAGCATTGTCCAGCTGAGATTTGATGAGGGTAGAAGAGAGGTGAGGCAGTCTGGAATAAGGTGCCTCCTAAGTAGGGCAGACCCTGAAGATTTTCCAAGCTTCTGAGGATCTTGTACTTTACCTGTTATTCTCCTCTAGACCTTGGGTTCTATTTTTGTTCTTTTTATGGGCTTGTCAAAAACTCAAAACTGCACATTTGTTATTGATTCAAACAATATTCCTACAACATAGTATTCATATTCCCATTTCACTGATGGAGAAACTGAAGCCAGAAAGACTAAGGGACATATTCAAGGCCTCAAAGCTAATAAGAACTAACCTTTAGTAAGATCCTAGTCTGCCAATGTCAATGTCTATGAAGTTGTAACAGCTGGGAGCAATCTCAACATTCTGGAAGCGTTTTTTGTTTGCTTGCTCATGGGTGATCGTGAAAGCTCCATGAACAGAGCTGAGCTTCGAAGCTTCAGATGGGACAAGCCAGTCAGTTAAACAGTGTATCAACCCCCTCCTTGGTTATTAATAAGCTGGGTATTTCTTGAAAGGAATTCTAATTCTTACCTACTCCACAGAGATGCCAGAAAGATCAATTAGCTGATGCTCATCTGAGACAGAACAAAAACAAAAATGGAAAATAAAAAGATCTATAAATGATTCTTTCCTCAGTTATTATCATTGTTATTATCACCATCATCACCATCATCATTATTTCTGCTGAGTTACTGCTTCATCAGACTACTCCTATATCTTCAATCAGGGGAGAAACAGCCTGAATGAAACCTGGAAATTAAGGAATTAGGAGAGACATGCATCTAAGGATGGGGTGGGAGCTTTCCATGCTTAAGTATCACATCGCCCCTCAAACTTTCCATTTCTGCCCTGGGTCTATTCAACACTGAGGGAGGCCTAACATGAAAGTGGGATAAAGGTCCCCCTCCCTTCCAGTCCAGCCTTCAATGCCCTCCCTTCCCCCAAATTCCCAGACACCTGCATTGATGCTGTTCTTTCTCCTTCTGCCTTCAAATTCTCATCTTTTCCATCAAGCATGGGTATTTTCCACTAATGCACTATCTCCAGAGGCTGCAGCTAAAATGGTCAAAGATTAGGTGAGAGTACCTTCAGCCTTCTGCCCTGTTGGCACAAGTGTCAGGGGGACACCAAAGGCCTGGCCCAGGGTAGCAGGGGATACTGAAGGGGAGAAGTGACCCAAGGCGCACTGATGACAATGAGGTCAGAGGAGTGCTGGGGGAGCTGTCCAAAGTGCCAGGACCATGGTCCAGCAGGCAAAGGGTGCTGGGTGGTGAAGCAGGGGAAGGATATAGGACGGTGGCCCCCAGGGGAAAGCATTCTACATATAAAGTTTGTCTCATCCCACCTTCTGTCTGGGACAGTGGCGTCCCATGACATTCACAGTCACAGTGTGTAATGGAGCTGCAAGAGAGGGCCTTGGAGAGCATCAAATTCGATCCTGGTGTTAGAGGCTTAAATGGAGCCAATGAGTTGTTGCCCAGGGACACACAGAGCCAGGATTCTAAAGTGTTCCCAAGTCCTTCCTCTTTCAATAAGGCCCTCCTGATCCGACTTCTCCCTCCTCTTCAAACTTGTAATTACTTATTCAGGGGATCTCTTCCCTTCAAGTCTGTAAGCTCCGTAAGTGCAGATATTGTGTCTATCTGGTTTAGCATATATCCCTAGTGCCTGGAGTAATGTGTAATTCTGTGGTATATGTGTGTGTGAGTGTATACATTGCATGTTTGGATGTGTGTGTGTGTGCATGGTGTAAACATGGTACTTGTAGTATCCACCTTTGGTTCTCTTTCCTTGCCTCCTTTCCTCAAAAGCACCGAGTCTTTTTCTACTTCTTTTTTTTTCCCCACTATCCTCAGTATTTTGTTCAGAGTGAGCATTTGCTCTATGTTTGATGACAATTTGTTGATTTCAAAAGAATTTACAACAAAGCAGTGACAATCATACCTACATTGGTCTAGCTCTATTTAATTTTAAGTGTCTTTGTATAAGTGAAAATTAATTGCTCATTTTTAGTATTGCACATTTCAAAGCTCTTTTAAATGCACATCAGTTAGTAAATAAATTCAGTTGGTAGGCATTTTTTATCTGTTGCAGGAAAATGGGAAGATGATCCACTTAGTAGAGAGAAGATTTTTTGTCAGATTCTATTTGAAGAAGTCTATTACTTTTCCTTCTAATGGGGTAGGGGAGAAAGGCAGAGTTGAAATGGAATTCATGCCCTGTTACCTACTGGCTGGCCCTCTCAACAACTTTTGCAAACTTTCTGTCTCAATTTCCTCATCTAGAAAAGCA
Source organism: Homo sapiens (assembly GCF_000001405.40). Taxonomy (NCBI): domain Eukaryota; kingdom Metazoa; phylum Chordata; class Mammalia; order Primates; family Hominidae; genus Homo; species Homo sapiens. The sequence goes on from NC_000018.10 coordinate 47,628,337, forward strand.
GCATAATAAAACTTCATTCCTAGGGCTGCCTGTGAGAAGCAGGGAGAGCATCTGGGCTGTGCCTAGCACACAAAAGGCATTCTGTAAATGTTAGTTTTCCCTTCTCTTCCCTTCTCATTTGGGCAAGACTTCCTGGAAGGGCTAAGATTTATAACTCTTCTGAATAATAAGAGAGTATCCAGACATTGACCTTGTACTCATTTCCATGGTTTCCAGAGTCCCTCTCCCCAACTGCTACTCTTGTGAAAGTTAAAACACACACACAGACACACACACACACACAGCCACCCTCCTCCAGGCTTTCTCTAGCACACTGTCTCACTTACCCTCTGCCCCATCCATTTCTTCCATTTGAAACTCTTGAGAAGGAATCACCCCATCTGCCTCTATTTATGTTTGTTTTTCCAAAACAGCTCTTGTGAAATGCAAAGTTTTAATAACAGAGAAATGATCATTTGGTGGATTGTAGAGCAGTAAAAGCTAGGTTGGAAGCTGTACACACACCAAAATACTGGGCCTGCTTGATATTTGTAGTAGGGAAAGGTGATCTTTACTAAACAAAACATGCAGGAAATGTGAACCAGGTTTCCTCTTCCCTTACTTCTCCAGCAGAAATTAAACAACTTTTACACCCCACGTAGTCTTCAGTAGAGGATGCTAATGATGTCTCTGATGCCCTCTACATCTGATCAAACTTTATTGTCTGTGTCAGGCTGCCAATTAAGGCATGGCTCTCCTATTGCACAAACTTCCCGAGCCACCTTAAAGGTTAATTGAATCATGTACACGCGACGCTCCAGTGGACATGGGGCTGTAGATTTCCTCTCAGACAGTGGATCTTTTGGGAGAACAAATTAAAAAATAGTGTGATTGTTATACAGCCAGAGTGAAGGCTCCTAGGGGGTAGAGAAGAAGTAACCAGAGCCCATCTTTCTGTCTCAGCCTTTCTTCTTGTCCATGTGTTCAGCTTTTTCATGGCATCTCTTTCAAGTTCTCATGAGCATCTTCCATTTCTGCTCTTCTCCATGCAATGCCATTTGCTGAAAAAGACAGAAGTTGTCTAAGGCACGTCCATTTGGGGCATTAAATCTGACTGAGGTGGCCAGCCATGGCCTGACCCCCAAGGCAAACCTTTGACCAAAGACTGGCTTCTTCCAATGCATTTCCTCAAAATGCACATCATCCTTCTCAGGGGACTGTCTCTAAGATAATATGCTTATGTGATTATAGACCTCCCCAAAGCTAGAAACTATGACCCAGAATAAACCATAGTTTTCAGGATTTGCTGAATGAATAAAAAGAATCATAAGATCATGGACTGCTCAAACTGGAAAGGTCTCTAGAGATCCTTTCCCTCAGTCCCCTTACACTGCAGATGAGAAACAGGTCAGAAGGGATGCATGGCACTCCCAAGTGTACAAGGACATGGCAAAAAAGAAACTGTTGTAGAATCTTGGTTTCCTGAATGAGGGAAATCCTACAGATAGGACTGGAGCTGTCTAAGCCTGTTTGTGAATCTGCTCTGTGCTCACCCCTATCAGGGACATCCATATATAAATCAGCATTGGCCATTGTGAGGAAGTGCTACAAAGAACTTTATAAATTTATTAAATCAGATCCCTGAGGACCTCCACTTGATATCATCTTTAGTCCCATTAATGCCCTTAAAAACAATTTGCTTGGGATGACACTAGTGGCGGAGGCAATGGCCAGCAACCCTCTGTAAGCGAGGCATGGAAGACATATGCTTGTGAGAAAAAGGTGTCTATGAAACTATGGATGGTACAAGAACTTCACTTGACATTGAAGAGTACTCCAATACTGAGGTACAGAAAAACCAAGTACTAACTCTGGAAGAATGGCAAGACAAGTGGGTGAACGGCAACACTGCTTTTCATCAGGAACAAGGACCTCAGCTATTAAAGAAACATTTAGATACTTTTCTTAAAGGAGAGAGTGGACTGAGGGTATTTTTTCCTCTTTGCAGAAAAGAGGTTGAGATGAAATGGTTTGCAGACCGGGGACACAGCGTAGTTGGTGTGGAAATCAGTGAACTTGGGATACGAGAATTTTTTACAGAGCAGAATCTATCTTACTCAGAAGAACCAATCACCGAAATTCCTGGAACCAAAGCATTTAAGAGTTCTTCGGGGAACATTTCATCATACTGTTGCAGTATTTTTGATCTTCCCAGGACAAATATTGGCACATTTGACATGATTTGGGATAGAGGAGCATTAGTTGCCATTAATCCAGGTGATCGCAAATGCTATGCGGATATAATGTTATCCCTCCTGGGAAAGAAGTTTCAATATCTCCTGTGTGTCTTTCTTACGATCCAACTAAACATCCAGGTCCACCATTTTATGTTCCACATGCTGAAATTGAAAGGTTGTTTGGTAAAATATGCAATATACATTGTCTTGAGAAGGTTGATGCTTTTGAAGAATGACATAAAAATTGGGGGATTGACTATCTTTCTGAAAAGTTATATCTACTTACAGAAAAGTAAATGAGACATAGATAAAATCACATTGACATGTTTTTGAGGAATTGAAAATTATGCTAAAGCCTGAAAATGTAATGGATGAATTTTTTAAATTGTTTATAAATCACATGATAGATCTATACTAAAAATGGCTTTTTAGTAAAGCTGTTTACTTTTTCTAAAAAAGTTTTAGGAGAAAAAGATGTAACTAAACTTTTCAAGTAGCTCCTTTGGAGAGGAGATTATGATGTGAAAGATTATGCCTGTGTGTCTTACAGATTGCAAGATATTTTATCAATCAGTGTGTGTTACCTGTACAATTAAAAAAATATTTTAAAATGCAATGCATATTAAACATAATACACACAGAAAAACTGGCATTTATTTTATTTTTTTGAGATGGAGTTTCGTTCTCGTTGCCCAACCTGGAGTGCAATGGCACAATCTCAGCTCACTGCAACCTCTGCCTCCCAGGTTCAAGTGATTCTCCTGCCTCAGCCTCCCAAGTAGCTGAGATTACAGGTGTGCGCCACCATGCCCAGCTAATTTTTTGTATTTTTAGTAGAGACAGGGTTTCACCATGTTGGTCAGGCTGGTCTCGAACTCCAGACCTCAGGTGATCTACCCACCTCAGCCTCCCAAAGTGCTGGGATTACAGGCGTGAGCCACTGTGCCTGGCCTGACATTCTTTATGAAATTTAGAATTGTTGAAAAAAATATAACACTTCAGTAGGGTTCAAGGTGGTCCCAAAAGTTATATAAAAGATTAGTTTTTACTATAAACCCTTGTCTTTTACTCAGATCCTAGCATCCCTTTTCACATGGTTTCTCCATATATGTAACAGAATCAAGAAACAAATTTTAATTAAACAATCTGTAACAGAATCAAGAAACAAATAAATTTTAATTAAACAATCTATATGGAACAAACATTCCCAAATTCTAAGAATAAATTTTTCTTTAAGTTTAAAACAAACAAACAAAAAAACAAAAAAAAAACAATTTGCTTTTCTGATTTTGTTTAGATTACTGTTTTCCAAGTTATTGCAAGTGGATGAAGTATACTGGTTAACAGAACTTACTTTTTCTAAGTCAGATGAGCCTTAAATTGTGACTTTCTTTAAGAAGATAGCTCACAATAGACTTCTAGATTATGTACTTTGAAGATTGTGACAGGGAATCCCCGTGTTGAGGGCCATATTACAGGCCGAGAGTCAGAGACTCATAGGATCTCAGGGATGGACTTCCCCAACTAACACCCTGCACAGTTCCTGGGCCTTAATAAATAACTGGTGAATGCATGCAAACAGAAACAGGTAGATGGATGGATTGACAGATCGATGAAGAGATGGATGAACAGATGGCTGAGTTTCCTCAACTTCCACCCTCCAAGTATCAAAATGGGATCTTTTACTCTTGAAGGCAATGAGATTAGTATCTTGTGTGTTAGCCTGGACCAGTTCAGTCAGCTGTAACTGTTAGAAAGTTCTTCCTTACATTAAGCCTAAGTCTGCCAGTGGCTTATAATGTCTGAGGTCCCAGTTTTGTTTTGAGACACAATGCAGAATAAATATTTATCTCACTCCCACATGATAGTCCTTTAGTTATTTAAAAACAGTTGCCAGATAGACTTATATTTTCTATTTTGTTTCAACCATTCATCTAATTGCTTATCTACCTTATGAGATTATTTCAAGTATTAAGTTAGATGTCTATTCAATGCCTGGCATATAGTAAGCAGTCAGTAAATAGTAGATATTATCATTGTTATAAAGCCTTTGATTCCAAACTCCCCCAATATTATATTTTAAAATGTCCTGTCTCCAAGAGATTTTGCATGAGACTTTTTAAAAATGAAATAAGCCAGCCTGAGCTAAATAGGAGCATACAGACCACAACTGGGGACAAAAAACATGTGTCAAGTGCTGGGAGCTTACTCATTTGGATCAGAACAGGATTACCCAAAGGGAAGAAAGAAAAGGACCCATAAAATCAGCATTCGCTACAGTATCTTGGGCAAGGCATAGCTATGAGCAGCAAGTTTTAATAAGCTTGCATAATAAACTTTGGAGCCCTTTAGGAAGTCCATTCCAGATGGGAAGCTCAATCACAATGACCTTGATGGTATTCTGGTCCCAGACATGTCTCTGGACATGCTCTTGTTTGTATCATGTACACACAATGCCCCCTTGCAAAAAGACCCAACCAGACCAGAATACGAAACTTCCTATGTGGCCCAACCATTTCCTGTGGCAGAAATCACTAGCTATTCACCCAAATCCCCTTCCCTGTCTTCTTTTTAGGCACATGGCTGATTACATTTCCCAGTCTTTGTAATTAGGTATGGCCATATGGAATTTTTATCTGATGAAATGTGAGAGGATGTTGATGTATTCCACTTGTAGATTTTTAAGATAAAAGATATGCTTCCTCTCCAACATGCCTTCTGTCCTCTGATACCAGTTGGTATAGTTTATAACCCAAGGTCAAGGGTTTCATAGACTCTCAAGAGGGAAGGAAGCTGGATACTTGAGTCACTATGTAGAAAAGAGCTGCCCAGTGGTCAGTAAATCAAAATTGCACTGTTACTTAAGCAAAAATAAACTTCCGTTGTGCTTGACATTTTGAAGTAGGTTCAAAAATCTAAAATATGTGGCACTGGCTTAGGAGTCTGGTGATGAGCAGCAGAGAAAGACACTGGAGGCAGGAAAGAAGGAGATCCATGTCAAGCAGTTGCAAAATCTATGATAGACCTGTCACATTCTCTAACATGGAAGCCAACAAAGTACTTACAGAATGTCCAGCTGTAAGGAAAGAATCTGAACAAGAGCCAGAAAGATGGGTTTCATATATATAAGTAATAAGAGATATGAGCTCTGGCATTCAAGAGTAGGAATGAAAGGGAAGAGAACACGCCCAGAAGTTAGAGAGTTTACCTCATTCGAAAAGTAAATTGCTCCTGAGCCAGAACAAGCAGGAGATGAGGCTTCTGCCATCCTGCTCCAGCCTGTTGTTTGAGATGTCCTCAGTGTAGCCTCTACCAACTTGCAAAAGAGAGGCGTGAACCCAGTTCTGAGAACTATGTCCAGCATAGAAGTTTGGATGTGATTCTGAGCATGGGAGGTTGACTAGAAGTAAACAGGCCAGAAATTTTTGAGAGAATTATACAGTTAGAAAGGCCACTGACTGTATGAATCCTAAAATGACTCCAGGTCTCTACACTTGCATGAGCAGAAAAAAAAAAAAGCTATGAAAGTTGGACAGCACCCAAAGTATGCACACACCGCCATGCCCACGGCAGAGGGGGTGTGAAGGATAATGAATGCAGAGGAGCATCTTACAAAGTAAAGTCAGGGGCCATGGAGGTCAATGGACAAAGGGCTCTTCCCTTGGAGAAAAATCAAGGTCTAGTCAGGGAAATTCCTTCAGGACAGGGGCAGGGGCTCTTGTCCAGGCCAGCTGAGCAGGATTCATCATTGCCAGAGACCCAGGACTGCCATGTTCTGCCAATTCTCCTTGCCACTCATAGAAGTCACTATTCTGCTTGCCTTGTCCTGCTCATCTCTATACACTGCCAGTGTGTGTGAAAGTGGGGAGAAGAGGTGACTTGTTATCAGCCCCAACATAATCATATCCAGACATGTGGCAAGGACTGTCCATCACCCAAAGGTGCTGGCCTTGGGTCTAGATTCAGTAACTAGAGGGGACTTTGGGTTATCTCTCCAGGAGAAGGGGAGGGGCTTATATGCAGGACGAGGAATGCTGGAGGATAATCGGTGGCCACAGGAGTAGGCAGATACCCCAGCCTGGGCTTCCCTGGTTAATACATGGTCACTCTACTTTGAAACTGCATGCATTTGTAAATCTTCCTGGGCAAAGATATAAAACTCCCCATGTGGTCTGACCAGAGTCCTGAACTTGCAATTTCTACTATTATGGGAGCTCAGTGAAACTGAAGATGCTCACAAGCTTCCCTTCTTCTACTTAGAGGTGACTTCTTCCAGCCATGGAAATGACAAAACTACTCCCCCAATTACTTCCATGTCCCACCCTAAGTACCTGGGACACAGACATGTACAGATCAGAAACCTCCTGGATCCCTCAACCTGCATGGTCCCTCCCTCCTTTGCCAGAACTTACTGTCGGGGCCACTCTTTTAGTACCTGTTATATGCTCTGCCTCACATACTTGTTTTTATTTCTTAATAATAAAATTTGTGAGTAAATTCCATGAACAAGAACAGTTTCTTACATGTATCCTCCACGGAACTGCCCAATCATAAATAATCAATAAATGTCTGTTTATTAACTGGGTGGCCAATTTACATAGTAAGTAAATATTAATTCCTTTTATTTTGTAAACACTTCTTGAGCATTTGTGATGTGCCAGGCACTGGGGTAAGAGCCCTCTTTGCCACCAAGCCACTCATGCTCTTGTGGGGAAAATAGACACATAAAGAAGCACTAGGTCAAAGACAAGTTGAGACAGAGACAAGTGTGGGACACTGTGGTGTCATGGGGAAGGGTACCTGGCCTGGGCCTGGGGGCGTTGGAATTGAAAGCTTCTTGGAGGCAGGAGGACAACAATGATTCGAACCCAAGCCTCCACTCGTATCCAATTGTCTTTTCAATGGGAACTCAAATTTTAAAAGAGATAATCCTTATTACCTGCCTAATTTATTTTTTAGAAGTGGAGATGTATAACCTGGGTGAGCTGAGCTGCAGGGCAGGCTGCGTCCCTAGCAATTGGCATGGGCTTTATCAGAGTGGCACTACACTTTGGGGGTGTTGTCACACCCTTCTGACAGCTGATTCCATTTCTGTTACAACCGGCCCAAGTGTCTCAGGGCTGGTTGGGAAAGTGTCTGAGTGTTTATCACAGGGGCTGTGGTTGGCAGAAGCCTTCAGAGTAACACAACGACTAAGAACACACCCTTCAATGTCGGGCTCTATAAAACTTACTGCCTATGTGACTTAAACTTAACTGCTCTATGCTCAGTTTCTTCACCTTTAAAATAAGGATGATAACAGTGTGGGGAAAGATCAAATGAGATAATTTGAAGCTTTCTGTGTCTGGCTTCCTTCACTCGGCAAATACTTTTGAGACATATCCATGTTGTTGCATGTACAAGTCATTCATTCCTTTTTATTGCTGAGTAGTATTCCAGTGTATGAATATATCAAAAATTATTTATTTTCTTACCTGTTGATGGACACTTGGGTTATTTCCTGTTTGAAGCTATTATCAGTAAAGCTACTATAAACATATACAGGCATTTGTGTGGACATGCTTTTTTTATTTTCCTTTTCTGTCATATGGCAAGTGTATACTTAATTAAATAAGAAACTGTCAAAGTGTTTTCCAAAGAGCCTGGCCCATTCTGCATTCCAATCAGTAATGTATGAGTGATTCGGTAGCTGCACATCCTCATCAATACTTGGTATAATTTAGCCATTCTAGTGTGTTTGTAGTGGATCTTGTTATGGTTTTAATTTGCATTTCTTTTTCTTTTCTTTTTTTTTTTTTTTTTTTTTTTGAGACAGTCTCACTCTGTCACCCAGGCTAGAGTGCAGTGGCACAATCTCGGCTCACCACAACCTCCACCTCCTGGGTTCAAGTGACTCTCCTGCCTTAGCCTCCCAAGTAGCTGGGACTACAGGCATGCGCCACCATGCCCGACTAATTTTTGTATTTTTAGTAGAGACAGGGTTTCACTATGTTGGCCAGGCTGGTCTCCAACTCCTGACCTCATGACCCGCCTGCCTTAGCCTCCCAAAGTGCTGGGATTACAGGCATGAGCCACTGCACCCAATTTCTAAGCAACTTTTGACTCTTTTAGAAAAATTACATCCACCTTAAACGATTAAAAACATATGAAGATATTTGAGGGCTTATGCCAAGATTGTGATGGAAATTCCCAAAGATGATTCTAGTTATGCTCAGCAAAGTCCACATAGTGAAAACCCACAGACAGCCTTCCAACAAGCTACTTTGAAGGACTTTGTTGTCTCTCCTGAAGAGACAACATTCATCTGAGCATGGTGTTTTGAACTAATTGTTTTTAAAACTCAATCCTGTTACCTCATAGCAGACTCTTTGGCAATAGAAAATGGTAATTAATAGAGTCTGGGGTCAGTTTGCCTTGGTTCATAGCACTTACTAATTCTTCAACCTCAGTTTCCTCGTCTATTCAGATTAAATGAGTTACTATACATGAAGGACTCAGAAAATACCTGGCACATACTAAGTACTCAACACAAGTTTTCATCATATGTCTTCAGCAACTTTTTTGCTCTTTGTCATTAACACTTTTTGTCCCATTATACTCTTAACAATTCTGAACTCCTCAGCTTATTCTGGTTCTAGAGCTTAATGAAATTTGAGCAAGAATCCTGTAGTTATTCAATCCACTGGATTAGGTACTCCAAGCTTATAGCATGGAGAAATGTGTAAACCTTTCACTGCATAGATAGGGTATGAAATACATTTGGAAATGGGGAGGTCAAGCCAAGATGGCCGAATAGGAACAGCTCTGGTCTACAGCTCCCAGCATAAGCGACGCAGAAGAAGGGTGATTTCTGCACTTCCATCTGAGGTACTGGGTTCATCTCACTAGGGAGTGCCAGACAGTGGGCGCAGGACAGTGGGTGCAGCTCACCGTGCACAAGCCGAAGCAGGGCGAGGCATTGCCTCACTCGGGATGCCCAAGGGGTCAGGGAGTTCCCTTACCTAGTCAAAGAAAGGGGTGACAGACGGCCCCTGGAAAATCGGGTCACTCCCACCCTAATACTGCGCTGTTCCCATGGGCTTAAAAAAACAGTGCACCAGGAGATTATATCCCACACCTGGCTCGGAGGGTCCTACGCCCATGGAGTCTTGCTGATTGCTAGCACAGCAGTCTGAGATCAAACTGCAAGGCCGCAGCGAAGCTAGGGGAGGGGCGCCCGCCATTGCCCAGGCTGGCATAGGTAAACAAAGCAGCCAGGAAGCTCGAACTGGGTGGAGCCCACCACAGCTCAAGGAGGCCTGCCTGCCTCTGTAGGCTCCACCTCTGGGGGCAGGGCACAGACAAACAAAAAGACAGCAGTAACCTCTGTAGACTTAAATGTCCCTGTCTGACAGCTTTGAAGAGAGCAGTGGTTCTCCCAGCACGCAGCTGGAGATCTGAGAACGGGCAGACTGCCTCCTCAAGTGGGTCCCTGACCCCTGACCCCCAAACAGCCTAACTGGGAGGCACCCCCCAGTAGGGGCAGACTGACACGTCACACAGCTGGGTACTCCTCTTAGACAAAACTTCCAGAGGAACGACCAGACAGCAGCATTTGCGGTTCACGAAAATCTGCTCTTCTGCAGCTACTGCTGCTGATACCCAGGCAAACAGGGTCTGGAGTGGACCTCTAGCAAACTCCAACAGACCTGCAGCTGAGGGTCCTGTCTGTTAGAAAGAAAACTAACAAACAGAAAGGACATCCACACCAAAAACCCATCTGTACATCACCATCATCAAAGACCAAAAGTAGATAAAACCACAAAGATGGGGAAAAAACAGAGCAGAAAAAATGGAAACTCTAAAAAGCAGAGCACCTCTCCTCCTCCAAAGGAACGCAGTTCCTCACCAGCAATGGAACAAAGCTGGATGGAGAATGACTTTGACGAGTTGAGAGAAGAAGCCTTCAGACGATCAAACTACTCCAAGCTACAGGAGGAAATTCAAACCAAAGGCAAAGAAGTTAAAAACTTTGAAAAAAATTTAGACGAATGTATAACTAGAATAACCAATACAGAGAAGTGCTTAAAGGAGCTGATGGAGCTGAAAGCCAAGGCTTGAGAACTACATGAAGAATGCAGAAGCCTCAGGAGCCAATGCGATCAAATGGAAGAAAGGGTATCAGTGATGGAAGATGAAATGAATGAAATGAAGCGAGAAGGGAAGTTTAGACAAAAAAGAATAAAAAGAAACAAACAAAGCCTCCAAGAAATATGGGACTATGTGAAAAGACCAAATCTACGTCTGATTGGTGTACCTGAAAGTGACGGAGAGAATGGAACCAAGTTGGAAAACACTCTGCAGGATATTATCCAGGAGAACTTCCCCAATGTAGCAAGGCAGGCCAACATTCAGATTCAGGAAATACAGAGAATGCCACAAAGATACTCCTTGAGAAGAACAACTCCAAGACACATAATTGTCAGATTCACCAAAGTTGAAATGAGGAAAAAATGTTAAGGGCAGCCAGAGAGAAAGGTCGGGTTACCCACAAAGGGAAGCCCATCAGACTAACAGCTGATCTCTCGGCAGAAACTCTACAAGCCAGAAGAGTGGGGGCCAATATTCGACATTCTTAAAGAAAAGAATTTTCAACCCAGAATTTCATATCCAGCCAAATTAAGCTTCATAAGTGAAGGAGAAATAAAATACTTTACAGACAGGCAAATGCTGAGAGATTTTGTCACCACCAGGCCTGCCCTAAAAGAGCTCCTGAAGGAAGCACTAAACATGGAAAGGAACAACCAGTACCAGCCACTGCAAAAATCATGCCAAAGTGTAAAGACCATCGAGGCTGGGAAGAAACTGCATCAACTAATGAGCAAAATCACCAGCTAACATCATAACCACAGGATCAAATTCACACATAACAATATTAACTTTAAATGTAAATGGACTAAATGCTCCAATAAAAAGACACAGACTGGCAAATTGGATAAAGAGTCAAGACCCATCAGTGTGCTGTATTCAGGAAACCCATCTCACGTGCAGAGACACACATAGGCTCAAAATAAAAGGATGGAGGAAGATCTACCAAGAAAATGGAAAACAAAAAAAGGCAGGGGTTGCAATCCTAGTCCCTGATAAAACAGACTTTAAACCAACAAAAATCAAAAGAGACAAAGGAGGCCATTACATAATGGTAAAGGGATCAATTCAACAAGAAGAGCTAACTATCCTAAATATATATGCACCCAATACAGGAGCACCCAGATTCATAAAGCAAGTCCTGAGTGACCTACAAAGAGACTTAGACTCCCACACAATAATAATGGGAGACTTTAACACCCCACTGTCAACATTAGACAGATCAATGAAACAGAAAGTTAACACGGATACCCAGGAATTGAATTCAGCTCTGCACCAAGCGGACCTAATAGACATCTACAGAACTCTCCACCCCAAATCAACAGAATATACATTTTTTTCAGCACCACACCACACCTATTCCAAAATTGACCACATACTTGGAAGTAAAGCTCTCCTCAGCAAATGTAAAAGAACAGAAATTATAACAAACTGTCTCTCAGACCACAGTGCAATCAAACTAGAACTCAGGATTAAGAAACTCACTCAAAATCGCTCAACTACATGGAAACTGAACAATCTGCTCCTGAATGACTACTGGGTACATAACGAAATGAAGGCAGAAATAAAGATGTTCTTTGAAACCAACGAGAACAAAGACACAACATACCAGAATCTCTGGGACACATTCAAAGCAGTGTGTAGAGGGAAATTTGTAGCACTAAATGCCCACAAGAGAAAGCAGGAAAGATCCAAAATTGACACCCTAACATCACAATTAGAAGAACTAGAAAAGTGAGAGCAAACACATTCAAAAGCTAGCAGAAGGCAAGAAATAACTAAAATCAGAGCAGAACTGAAGGAAATAGAGACACAAAAAACCCTTCAAAAAATTAATGAATCCAGGAGCTGGTTTTTTGAAAGGATCAACAAAATTGATAGACTGCTAGCAAGACTAATAAAGAAAAAAAGAGAGAAGAATTAAAGAGATGCAATAAAAAATTATAAAGGGGATATCACCACTGATCCCACAGAAATACAAATTACCATCAGAGAATACTACAAACACCTCTACGCAAATAAACTAGAAAATCTAGAAGAAATGGATAAATTCCTCGACACATACACCCTCCCAAGACTAAACCAGGAAGAAGTCGAATCTCTGAATAGACCAATAACGGGCTCTGAAATTGTGGCAATAATCAATAGCTTACCAACCAAAAAGAGTCCAGGACCAGATGGATTCACAGCCGAATTCCACCAGAGGTACAAGGAGGAACTGGTACCATTCCCTCTGAAACTATTCCAATCAATAGAAAAAGAGGGAATCCTCCCTAACTCATTTTATGAGGCCAGCATCATCCTGATACCAAAGCCGGGCAGAGACACAACCAAAAAAGAGAATTTTAGACCAATATCCTTGATGAACATTGATGCAAAAATCCTCAATAAAATACTGGCAAACCGAATCCAGCAGCACATCAAAAAGCTTATCCACCATGATCAAGTGGGCTTCATCCCTGGGATGCAAGGCTAGTTTAATATATGCAAATCAATAAATGTAATCCAGCATATAAACAGAACCAAAGACAAAAACCACAGGACTATCTCAATAGATGCAGAAAAGGCCTTTGACAAAATTCAACAACACTTCATGCTAAAAACTCTCAATAAATTAGGTATTGATGGGACGTATCTCAAAATAATAAGAGCTATCTATAACAAACCCACAGCCAATATCATACTGAATGGGCAAAAACTGGAAGCATTCCCTTTGAAAACTGGCACAAGACAGGGAGGCCCTCTCTCACCACTCCTATTCAACATAGTGTTGGAAGTTCTGGCCAGGGCAATTAGGCAGGAGAAGGAAATAAAGGGTATTCAAGCAGGAAAAGAGGGAGTCAAATTGTCCCTGTTTGCAGATGACATGATTGTAAATCTAGAAAACCCCATTGTCTCAGCCCAAAATCTCCTTAAGCTGATAAGCAACTTCAGCAAAGTCTCAGGATACAAAATTAATGTACAAAAATCACAAGCATTCTTATATACCAATAACAGACAAACAGAGAGCCAAATCATGAGTGAACTCCCATTCACAATTGCTTCAAAGAGAAAAAATACCTAGGAATCCAACTTACAAGGGACGTGAAGGACCTCTTCAAGGAGAACTACAAACCACTGCTCAATGAAATAAAAGAGGTACAAACAAATGGAAGAACATTCCATGCTCATGGGTAGGAAGAATCAATATCATGAAAATGGCCATACTGCCCAAGGTAATTTATAGATTCATTGCCATCCCCATCAAGCTACCAATGACTTTCTTCACAGAATTGGAAAAAACTACTTTAAAGTTCATATGGAACCAAAAAAGAGCCCGCATCGCCAAGTCAATCCTAAGCCAAAAGAACAAAGCTGGAGGCATCACGCTACCTGACTTCAAACTATACTACAAGGCTACAGTAACCAAAACAGCATGGTACTGGTACCAAAACAGAGATATAGATCAATGGAACAGAACAGAGCCCTCAGAAATAATGCCGCATATCTACAAATATCTGACCTTTGACAAACCTGAGAAAAACAAGCAATGGGGAAAGGATTCCCTATTTAATAAATGGTGCTGGGAAAACTGGCTAGCCATATGGAGAAAGCTGAAACTGGATCCCTTCCTTACACCTTATACAAAAATTAATTCAAGATGGATTAAAGACTTAAATGTTAGACCTAAAACCATAAAAACCCTAGAAGAAAACCTAGGCATTACCATTCAGGACATAGGCGTGGGCAAGGACTTCATGTCTAAAACACCAAAAGCAATGGCAACAAAAGCCAAAATTGACAAATGGGATCTAATTAAACTAAAGAGCTTCTGCACAGCAAAAGAAACTACCATCAGAATGAACAGGCAACCTACAAAATGGGAGAAAATTTTTGCAACCTACTCATCTGACAAAGGGCTAATATCCAGAATCTACAATGAACTCAAACAAATTTACAAGAAAAAAACAAACAACCCTATCAAAAAGTGGGCGAAAGACATGAACAGACACTTCTCAAAAGAAGACATTTATGCAGCCAAAAAACACATGAAAAAATGCTCACCATCACTGGCCGTAAGAGAAATGCAAATCAAAACCACAATGAGATACCATCTCACACCAGTTAGAATGGCAATCATTAAAAAGTCAGGAAACAACAGGTGCTGGAGAGGATGTGGAGAAATAGGAACACTTTTACACTGTTGGTGGGACTGTAAACTAGTTCAACCATTGTGGAAGTCAGTGTGGCAATTCCTCAGGGATCTAGAACTAGAAATACCATTTGACCCAGCCATCCCATTACTGGGTATATACCCAAAGGACTATAAATCATGCTGCTATAAAGACACATGCACACGTATGTTTATTGCAGCACTATTCACAATAGCAAAGACTTGGAACCAACCCAAATGTCCAACAATGATAGACTGGATTAAGAAAATGTGGCACATATACACCATGGAAAACTATGCAGCCATAAAAAATGATGAGTTCATGTCCTTTGTAGGGACATGGATGAAATTGGAAATCATCATTCTCAGTAAACTATCGCAAGAACAAAAAACCAAACACCGCATATTCTCACTCATAGGTGGGAATTGAACAATGAGAACACATGGACACAGGAAGGGGAACATCACACTCTGGGGCCTGTTGTGGGGTGGGGGGAGGGGGGAGGGATAGCATTAGGAGATATACCTAATGCTAAATGACGAGTTAATGGGTGCAGCACACCAGTATGGCACATGTATACATATGTAACTAACCTGCACATTGTGCACATGTACCCTAAAACTTAAATAATAATAAAATAAAATAAAATAAATACATTTGGAAAGAGAGGAAGGGCTGTTGCTTACTGTTTCCAAGGACTTGAAAACCAAAAAAGGGATTAACATTAATTACATGGAGTATTTTCAATGTGTATTATTTATCTTCCAATCAGGACACTTTTGGGATTGGAAGATATAAACCAAGACTGTCCCAGATAAACCAGAATGCATAGTCTCCCTAAAAATGTTTCAGGCAATGTACTTGTGCCATGGCTTAGATGTTTGTCCCCTCCAAACCTCTTGTTGAAATTTGATCCCAATGTTAGAGGTGGGGCCTAATGGGAAGTGTTTGGGTCATGGGGGGTAGATCCCTCATGAATAGATTAGCACCCTCCCTGAGGGTAAGTGAGTTCTCACTCTATTAGTTCCCACAAGAGCTGGTTGTGAAAAAGATCTGGCACCTCCCCTGTCTTGCTTCTTCTCTCACTATGTGATCTCTGCATTTGCCATCTCCATGAGTAGAAGGTAAAAGGGAGATGGGAGATGGCAGGTGCGCTCATGGTGGAAGGCGAAGGGGAGATGCAGGTACACTCATGGTGGAAGGTGAAGGGCAGATGCAGATGCACTCATGGTGGAAGGTGAAGGGGAGATGACATGTGCACTCATGGTGGAGGGTGAAGGGGAGTTGACAGGTGTACTCACGGTGGAAGGTAAGGGGAGATGCAGGTGCACTCATGGTGGAAGGTGAAGGGGAGATGCAGGTGCACTCATGGTGGAGGGTGAAGGGAAGGTGGTTGGTGCATTCATGGTGGAAGGTGAAGGGAAGTTGCAGGTGTATTCATGGTGGAAGGTGAAGGGGAGATGCAGGTGTACTCATGGTGGAGGGTGAAGGGGAGATGCAGGTGCACTCATGGTGGAAGGCGAAGGGGAGATGGCATGTACAGCCTGAGGCTTTCATCAGACACAGATGCCCAATCTTGAACTTTTCAGCCATCAGAATCATAAGCCAAATAAATTTTTTTTCTTTTTAAATACTCAGCCTTGGGTATTCCTTTATAGCAACACAAACAGACTAAGGCAGCTAGGAACTTACAATATTTTATTTAATTACTGAACTGACCATGTTCATGTAAGAGTAAATATCATTATTCTTATTTTGCACCTGGGAAAATCAGGTTCACAAGAGGTTAATTAACTTGCCCCTCAAACCACACCACAGTGGGTGAGCAGGAGAGCTAGGATTCAGATGCAGGTCTCTGATTTGGAGGCTCCCGCCTTCACCACTGACCTTTCTACCATCAAGCCCTCAAGACTTATCCCATGCAAATCTCCTTTGTTTCTCTGCTTCCCATTGCTTTTAAGACAGTATGAATGAAAATTTTCAGATGGTATGTTTATATGAAAAAATGTAGAGACCATGAAGGCCCATATACCACCATCCAGCTTGACAAATTCATCCACAGTCCCCTGCATATCATTTCCCAATACCATTTGCCTCCCACCTCCAGAGAGGTAGGAACTAACTACTACCTGAACTAGGTTTTGTAATTTTTGTGTAACTCTTCATACTACTAAGGTGCTAGATGTACCCACAAAGGGCACACAGTCCGGTTTAGCAGGCTTTTAAACTTGTATAAATGATGTTATGCTGTGTACAATCTTCTGCAACTCCCCACACTCAACCAGAGAAGCCCTGACTCATTCATGTTTAGTGCTATGTAGTATTGCACTGTGTGAATACACAGCAGTTAATTGATCCATTCCCCCATCCTGATGAATAATGAGAATATTTCTCACTGTTTGTGAGCAATTACAAACAGTGCTCTTATGAACCTTCTTATGTAGAGTACAGACCCAGAAGTGGGGTGGCTGGGTAGAAGTGTTTGCATATCTTCAACTTTACCAGGTATTGCTATTGTTCTCCAGAATGGTTTTAGCAATTTACCCTCTCACCAGCACAGTATGTGAGTTAGAATTGCTTCATATCCTTACCAACCATGGTGTGTTCAGATTTATTTCTTTCGGTAGTAGTACCTTGAATAAATTTTAAAATAGTATCATATTATAGTTTGGATTTTTATTTCTCTGTATTTCCTTGATTACTCTGATTACTAGAGAGACTGACCTTCTTTTCATAGGTTGATTGGCTGCTCAAGTTCTCTCCTCTAGATAGCAGCAGTTCTCCCTTTTCATCTCAAGAATCCTCTATCCCTCTGGGCTCATCTTCTCTTAAGAAGGCTGCCTTTGCAAGAGAGGGTTATTATTCTTTCTTACTACCCTTTTGCAAGTGCCAAGTCCCCTGTGACTTAAGGGTTATGCTGCCAATTGCTCTGGAGAAAGTGGCAAGAGATTATATAAATAACAAAGAGAAGAATGTTATGAGTGTCCCACAATCTTACAAAATTCTTACTTTTAAAACCTACACTTCTGGAGAAGGTTTCCCCTACTGGGATCTCTGGACCAGAACAATTGTTATGTTCTTACAAGGTTCTAAAGTTCTCTAGGGGAAAAATTAAATTTGTGTTTTCATTTTGCTCATAATCTTAAATTTATATTATATTAAGCATTTTCTGGACCATCCTCATTTTTAGTACTGCTGTGTTATTAGATTGCCTATATTTCTGATCTTACAATCATCTTGGTACCAAGTGAGACCACTGAACAGAGATGGACCTAATGGGTTCATCAGTTAAGATATTAAGTCTCTAATAACAGAATGCCCATCTAACAGTGGCTTTTAAAAAAGACACTTACTATCTTATATCAATAATCCTGGAAGTAGATGGTTCCAGAGCTGGTTCAGTGATTCAATGATATCATCAAGGACCCAGGTTCTTTCTATCCTTCTGTTCTGCCATCTGATGCATGTTGGCTTTGCAAACTCAGCTTTGTTTCCTCACAGTTGCAAGAGAACTGTGCATGTCCCAGGCATGCGATACTCATACAAGAAAGTTAAAGGGCAAGAAGCCAGGACAGGACTGTGAGAAAGCTCATCAGAAAGAAAAAAGGAAATCTCTGCCCAGAGGTTTCCCAGTCAGACTTTTCTTTATACTCAAACAGGTCACAAGGCCACTCCCAGATGCAAAGGAAGCTGGGAAAGCCAATGTCTGGCATCCTTTGCCTCTAAGATAGAAGGTGAACTCTGCCCACTTGAAAGAAGGAGAGACGGATGACTTCTGGGTAAGTAAATGACGCATTTGTCCTAAGTTAAAGCTATGTGTTGTCAATATCTACTGAAAAAAAGTGACAGTTTTGCAGTGGAATAAGTAGAGAAAACGGTGAAAGAAATTCAGTCATCATTCAAGACATGTTGCTATAAGCAAACCTAACTCAAAACACTGTGCATAGGTTCAGTAAAGTAGCATCTCCTCTACTTTACCCCTGTCCCCAAACCCACAGACCCACCCTTTGATGCCATGTCAGACCCTGGCATGCTTAGGCAGTTCAAGTCTATGACTCAATCACCTTAAAGAAACAAATTGTGTCTGCCTTCTTCCTCCTGCCTTTCCTGAGCTCCTCAGCTCAACTCCCTGGCCTCCTTGACCCCAGGTTTATGCACATATACATGAACTTCCTTCTAGCAAACCTGATCCCACCTGGCTTTAAATTGCTGTTAAGGTATTTCTTCCTTAGGACTTCATCTATGACCCCTCCCAGAGACTGCATTTCATAGAAAGAATAGGACTACACAGGAGAAAGGGCATAACTTTGTAGTCAGACAGGATTAAAATCTTGACTCCAATACTACAGATATCAATAGAATAATAAGAGAATATTACAAGAAACTTTATCAATAAATTCAACAACTTAGGTGAAATATACAGATTGTCTAAAAGACACAAATAACAAAAACTGGCTGAAAAAGAGGGAGAAAAATCTAGAGTCCTATATCTGTTAAAGAAATGGAATTAGTAATAAACAAACAAAAATTTGCCACAAAGAAAATACCAGAAAGAAATAACACCAGTCCATCAAAAACTCTTTCAGAAAATAAAGAGGAAGTAATGCTTCTGAAACCATTTTATGAGAGCACATTACCTCTTGAACCAAAAACATAAGAAAACTGCAGTCTATCTCTTATGAAAATAGTCACAAAAATCCTTAACAAATAATTAGTAAATAGCATACAGCAACATATAAAAAGGCTAATATACCATGGCCAAGTGGGGTTTATATCAGAAATACAAGGTTGGCTTAATATTCAAAAATCAGGCTGGGCACGGTGGCTCATGCCTGTAATCCCAGCACTTTGGAAGGCCAAGGGGGGCAGATCACCTGAGGTCAGGAGTTCAAGACTAGCCTGGCCAACATGGTGAAACCCCATCTCTAATAAAAATACAAAAATTAGCTGGGTGTGGTGGTGGGTATCTGTAATTCCAGCTACTTGGGAGGCTGAGGCAGGGAGAATTGCTTGAACTCGGGAGGCAGAGGTTGCAGTGAGCCAAGAACGCATCGCTGCACTCCAGCCTGGGTGACAGAGCGAGACTCCATCTCAAAAAAAAAAAAAATCAATATAATTTATCATATTAACGGAATAAAGAATACCATATGTCTATCTAAACAGATCCAGAAAATGCATTTGATAAAATTCAACACCAATTCATGATTTTTTAGAAAAATTACCAGCAAACTAGAAATAAAAGGGAAATACCTTAACCTGGTAAACAGCATCTGTGAAAAATTTAGAACTAACATCATACTTGATAGTAAAATATCGTATGCTTTTCTCCAAATATTGGAAACATTGCAAAGATATTCTTTCTTATCACCCCTATTTAACCTTGTATTTGGGGGTCAAAGCTAGAGCAATAAGGCAAGAAAAAGAAATAAAAGTGTTAAAATAAGAAACAAATAAGCAAAAGTGCCTTTATGTGCATAGAACATGACCATGGACTTAGAAAATCCTAAGAAATCTATCTAAAAGCTACATACATCCACACAAAAACTTGTACACAAATGTTTATGATAACTTTTTTCAAAATTGCCAAAAACTGAAAAAACTAAATGTCCATCAATGGGTGAAAAGACGAACAAAACAGTAAAAAGAGACAAATAATTGATACATGCAAAAACATAGACAAAATTTTAAAGACCACATGCTGAGTGAAAAAAACTAGAGACAGAAGAAAATATGTTGTATGCTTTTCCTTTTATGAAATACTAAGTAAGACAAACCTAATCAACAGTGAATAAAGCAGATCAGGATTTGCCTGAGGATGCAGTGAAAATCAACTGGATAGAAACATCAGGAAACCTTTGGAGTCATGGGTAAATATCTTGATTATGGTGATAGTTACATGGATGTACGCATTTTTCAAAACTCATCATACTGTACATCTAAAATGTGTGCATTTTATTCTTTGCAAATTATATCACAGTGAAGTTGATTTTTAAAAATTCTGTCCTCTTTGTTTACAGAGAGGCCTAGAGCAGCTGATTTATCCCTCAGAATCTTAATTTCATAAGATGACAATTCCATAAGTATTTACTTGCAGATTTGCCATGATTATCTATCTAAGTATGGTACTTAAAACTGAGTAAGTAAGCAGTAACTTATTATTAATAAACCTGAAGACTCAAATAGACGAATCTCTAATGGCAGGGCTTCAGATGTGATGAGAAGTTTGGAAAATACTTTGAGGCAGGAACTCTTGACCAGTCCTCTTCGTAATGGTCATTTTCTCTAACGGAAAGTCCAATTTTCCCTAATGGCCCAGTAAATTGAGCCATTAATATCCTTCCTCCAAGATAACCCTAGGTTTGGAGTTTAAATGATATATTCTCATATTTTAAAAGAACTTTATTTCATTTGACTCCCATAGCTATCTTTGGAAGTGGGTAGATCGTGAACCATGTGACTCTAGAGTACAGAAAATTAAAGAGACTTGCCTAAGCCCACATACTTCAACCAAGCCTAAAATCAAGTGACTGAAGTATTTAGTACATTATCCAGAGAAGATGAGATGGGGTGGTGGGCAGGGGAAGATATGGAGGGGAGTTCTATTTTTGCAGAACATCAAAACAATCACTCTGTTTGAAACACTTTAGTAATGCGGGTCCATGTCCAAGGCCACAGAAAAAATTAGTGGCAGAATGAGATATCTCCTGAATCTCCCAGGGTGTTCTTCCTGTATCCCCTGCCTCCATCTCTCTCTCGAAAATGGTGATGGACCTGGTACTTGCCCTTGACCTTCAATAGAGCTTAACAGCACAAGATGCTTTCCTCCCGTGCATTTTTTCCCTGCCTTTTCTGGGCAGCATGGTCCTCTGACCCACTGCATACTCCTGCCAGTGCAAGCAGCTAGGGCTGGTGAAGATCAGTGGACAGTTGGCCCAGCTGTTCTGGCCAGGGAGGTTGCCCCACTCCTGGCTGCCCAACGGGAGTAGGAGGGACAGAGTAATTAATTTCTATGCATATCATTGCCAGGATCACTTACTGATCCGAGAAGGGAGATTAGAGATGTCACCCTGTAAATTGAGTCAGAGCCTTCGCCTCGGTGCTTGGCTGGCAATTTTACACAGTGCCTGACACAGTAACAAACGCAGGGTACAAAAAGGCAGCAGCTCCCCTGGGTGATGGACGGGGGGAATTGGCCCAATAAATTGTTCCCTGTAAAAAGCCATGTTTCCATCATTAAAAGGCAGTGAATTCTCTATTGCTTTTCATTAGCTCTGGCCTTGCTAGACATGAGGTGTAATTGACAGTGTGGTTACAGGAGGTAGGCCCCGAGGTGAGGGAGACAAAGAAACTGAAAAGAGATTCTTATTTATTAAGGTGGAGGTGACAGGCGGCCGCTTAATAAGTTTTTGGCATCGGGGCCAGGAGTTGGGAGAGTGGTCGGATCCTCTGAGGGTCGATCCAAGGACATTCATTCTACCCAGGAGAATAAAGAGCTGGTCAGACTCAAGGGAGAAGCTGGGGCCACCCTAGCAGGGCAGAGGCAAACCCTGGAGCACTGGGCAGTGGAGGCTGCTCACAGCTGTCACCCCCACCCAGCTTAAGGGAATCATGAACACTGGACTGGGCTCAAAAGACCTGGGGTCTGGTCCTAGATTTCTCATTGACCAGACCACTAAGCAATTCTAGAAAAGTCACTATATCTTTCCAGGTTTCCATATCTCCACCTGAAAAATGGGAAGAATGAGGTCAAGTGAGACTTGCTCTCTGGGAAGGCATTTGGCGGAAGAGTAAAATACTGCAGACACACTTCTGATTTCTAGAATTGTTTTATTTTCTTAGTTTAAGCATAGAACCAAGAGTTTTTTCTACTGTGTGGGTTATAAGTGATTCTTCTCACTATGATTTTGATGTTCACGTTGTCCCAGAGGTGGTCCCTGGGAGCCTTGAGCTGGCCCCTGCATCTCCTCACAGGCCTCCTAGATTCTTGGAGCTTTACCTTACATCCCTGCACAACGAGATGTTCCAGGCTTATCTGATACATCCATTCCCTCCACACCCCAGCCCTGGCTCCTTTACTGGGTCAAAAGCAAAACAACTTGCATAGGAGCTGTCACTGCACATTTAGGAGTGAGATGTGGATCGCCTGTAGGACTCAGCCTCACATGCCACAGGATGTAAAGGGGTTGAAGTCAAAGTGACCAAGGATGTTTCTGGAAAGTGAGAGCTGTGGCTGTGCTATGAGTCCTACACCCACAGGCAGGTGGGAGGTGTGCTGCCCCCAGGAGCTAGGGGCACACTGGGCTCGAGCAATCACAGACAAGAGGCCAGGGTAATGGGGAGGTGAGAAGGCTCTGGCCCAGGGTAATGGGGAGGTGAGAAGATCACCTGTCTGCAGTTTTCTCCTGGGCCAGGTGTGGGCCCTGCAGGAGAGAGAAGCCCTGAGGTCTTTTTTATTCATGCCCCAGAGGACTGCCCAGAGGGACGGGACTGCCCAGAGGGACGAGACAGCCCAGCAGGGAGCAGGGGCTGTGGAGACCCTTCCCCTAGCACCATGGGGAAGGTGTACACGGCCAACTTGGTCACCTGATCAAATGTATCACCCTTCATAGGAAGTGCAGTCAAGGGTTCCCTGTGGGACCTTCATGAAAGTGTCCCTGAAAGGAATAATGAGTTCAGAACATTGGCCAACTCAGAGACGGTCCATATGAAACGGTTTCCCGAGAGCAAAACAGCAAAGCCAGGTTACCCTGGTTCCAGATAGGCAAGACCTCCCCTTCCCTCTCCAGCCTTCTAGGGATCAGGAAGTGCCTCTAGGACCAGGTGGGGGGCCGGGAAGAGCAGCTGACCACAAACCCCCAACGTGTCCCAGCCAGTCCAGGCTGCCAAAGCCACCTGGGCTATAGGAGGGGAAGCGGGATCGAGTATTTAAACAGTCGTTTCCTGGACATTTTAATTACCCCATGAGATTACTCTTCTGATGGGTTGGGTTGGAGAATACAGCTATTTCCTAGTCGAAGCCTAGTGAACTTGTTTCCTGGGGCTACTGTAACAAAGTCCTAAGACTGGGGGGCTTAAGCAAGAAACACTGTCTCACAGTTCTGGAGGCCGGAAGTCCAAAATTAAGGTGCAAACAGGGCCATGGCCCTCTGAAAGCACTAGGGAAGGATCTGACCCAGGCCTCTCTCCTCGCTCCTGGAGTCCTTAGGAGTTCCCTGGCTTGTGACTGGATGTCTTCTCTCTGTGCCTCTTCACAGTATCTTCCTCTGTATGTGTCTCTCTGTGTCTAAATTTGCCCTTTTCATAAAGATACTGTCAGATTATAGTAGGGGTCACCCTAATGTCCTCATTTTAACTTGATTACATCTGCAAAGGCTTCATTTCCAAATAAGATTACATTCGTAAGTATTGGGGTTAAGACTTCAACATCTTTTGGGGGACATTATTCAAGCCAGAACACCTTGTATTACTGCTCATTTGATAAACCCTTCCTTCTTGAGCACCTGCTGTGTCAGATGCTATGCTGGGCACTGGGATGATGAACACATGACCCAGGGAGACCCACAGTTGTGGAAAAACACAGCAGGACAGTGATTGCTTTGGCGGAGTGGACCTGTGCTGCACCTAGCCGGGAGCATCGCTCCAGAGAAAGTGATTCTTGAGTTGAGTCTTTTCAAGTTGACTTTCAAGTTGATAGCTTTGAGTAGTCAGGCTAGGCTGGAGGAAGTGTTAGGGTGACCAGCTGTCCTGGTTTGCCCAGGACTAGGAGAGTTCTTAGGATGTGAGATTTCCAATGCTCATGTTGGGAAAGTCCCAGGGAAACTAGGAAGAGTTGGTCACTTCAGACAGGGAAGACACCTGACTTCAGGAAGCAGAGACAGGTAATTGGCCTAAAATCAAAGGTAAGAGGAAGTAGAAAGCTCTTGTTGAAGCTCTCTGTGCAGTTATAAAAAAAAAAAAAAAAAAAAAAAGGAGCAGTGTTGGCTGTAGTGTCTTGGGAAAACTTCAAGGGGGAGATGGAGCTTAAACCGGGCCTTTGAGGATGGGAGGATTTGGATGGGGGAGAGAGAGGGCTCTCCAAGTGGAAGAACAGAAGGAGCAATATACACGAGAGAGATTCGCACCTGTGGGAGCTTCAGATGTAAGATGAGGTACAATTCCTGTCCCTGGAGCTTAGAACCTTGTGGAATAAAGACGGAGCCATGCTGCGTGCAGAGACACTATTAGGGAGGCAGGGAGTGAGCCAGATCAGGGTCCACAGGAAACCAGGCACGTACAGGCAAATGCTGGAAATGGTGGGCCATGGGGAGAGGGGCCCAAGTGCTCTCCAGACTCCTCCTGGGGAAAGCTTTGCTATGCTCCTATAGAATACCAGAGGCCAAGTTCGGGATTCTAATGAGGCTGAGGTCCCCCAGGGCTACAACCCACCGGGCAACTGAGAAAGGCCCTTTTCTTCCCTTCTTCCCTATTGACTTCATTCACCCTTCCTTCCACCCATCCAATAATTACTATGTGTCCATTACATTCCAGGCCACATACTAGGGGCCAGGAGCACAACAGTGAGTAAAAAGAGAAATGGCCTCTACCCTCATAAAGCTGCAGCTCAGTGGGCGGAGGCAGACATTAATTAAATCCTCAGATAAATAAACATGAAATCACAAATAGGATCAGTGCTATGAAGATGAGGGCCAAGGCTCTGACGGGCATATCCAACTTGGTCTGGAGAGTCAGAAAGCAGGGATTGGGTCTGTCTGCCCAGGGAGCCTGCCCAGCATAGCACAGAGAGGCACTCAATCAATGAAAAAGACCAAAGAATGAACCTGGGAACTGGGGAAGAGTTAGGATAGGATGCAAATGGTAAGAGCCCAGATCTTGCCTGTTTAGGAAAGAAATGTTAGCACATACAATCCAAAGATTCTTGAGAGGGAATACCTGATAATTCATCTGATTTTTTTTTCCTGAACAATTTGTCCTCTTCCCACTTGGCTGTCCAGATAATTGGGGGAACCCAAGAAATTGGATCAAAAGCCATTTCCCCATAGTAAAGAGCATGATTCTCTCCACCAACATTTCTCTTTGGGTTTTCTTAATTCTATTCCTTTTCCTCTTCATTCTCCTACACAGGAATGCCCAAGAAGGGCCAGTCCAGATGCCTGGCACTCCACACCTTGTTGTCCTCAGAAGAAATACTGGCAAAATGGGAGCCTTAAAATTAAGTAGCAGGCAGTGTCCAATAATTAATTTTATTTTATTCCCATTGTTTATTTAATACAACTTTAAAACTACATTAAGAAGGCAGAACTGTGCAGTGTAGCATGAAAATGAGCTGGAAGCTTTCCAATTGGAGGCCAGGAATTAGCAAATTGGTCAGATGTGCAGGATGACTTCAACTAAGATGTAATCAAGAAGCCACACTTCTAATCGTTCATCAGCAAGAGATACTACCCCCAAAGCACTGGATTTCCTGATCCCTGGGCTGCAGGATGGCTTGCGGCCCCCAACCAGCCAGAGTGAAGACTATAGACTTCAACACCAGCTATAGATTTCCAAGGAGACTGCACTGGGGTATCCCTGAGCCATAGGCAGGGAGCAGAGATCTGTCCTGCTTCCCCTCATCCAGATGCCATTTGCTTCGGATTGCTTGCTGCCATCTGGAAGGAGGACCTTGAAAAGCCACCCTGGACCTGGTCTCTGCAACTCTAGAGGTAAATGGGGAGCTCTGGGCATGAGGCAGAGCTGCCTCTGTTAGTAAGGGCTAGGTGCCTCTACGAAGCCCATTTGTCTGTTACTATCTTGCCTGTTTGATTTCTGTGGCTTCCCTGGATCTGACCATCTTATGAGCTTCCTGACCCCCCATTTTACCTGAACCCTAAATACAACTTTCACCTGCCTCTCCCTTGCTCCCTAGGAATTCCTGGGAGCCTGACCACAGCCTGCATGTAAATCCCACCCCTACTCAGTCCCCTTCTGATGTCCATTCACGACATACGACTCTCTGAGCCTTTATGCCCACTCTACCTCCTGGCACCTTGGTCTTATGGTCTACAATGGGCGTTAGTGCCTGGCTTGACTGCCTGGAATCTGACTCACTTCCTAGTCACCTGGTCCAAAGCCCTCAGCACTGCCTCAGCTACCAGCCTCCCAGCCCCATCTCACTCTCATCTTGACCTCCTACTCTGGGCTTTCAGCCTTCTTCCATCTCTTTTTTTCCTGGCTTCTCACCTGCTTTTACAACCTCCTGCCCCTGGATTTGCTGTGGTTAGTGTCTGCCAGGAGCAGTCACATCCTGCCTGGATCCTCTAGCTCAGTCACTTGACAGCACCCCTCCCTTTCCTGCCACACATGCTCAACCTCAAGCAAGGCTGTCCTCTCAGTAATGCATTCACTAAGAAGTCCAGATGCCCCTAGGACAGCTCCACTGTGGGGCCTGGACCTCAGTTAGCATTCAGGGCCCTGCTATTTATAAGGAGGGATTCCTGTCAATGCCTCCTTCTGCATCTCCTGTTGCTCAGCTGCTGTGTAAGCCAGCTCCAGCATTCCCTCCCCTCATCCCCTGGCTGTCCTGGTGCAGGCTGGCCTATTGCTCTTCCTTATGTGTTCTTGACACTGTCTTCTTCTCATTGGCTGCAACTGGTGTCCAATCCCCACCCACAGAGCCTCTCCCTAGGGAGATGTAAGTTTCAACCTCCCTGACTCCTGACTCCACCTAGTCCAGACGACCAACTGGGCAATAATATTTAGTCAAAACAGTGTTTTCTAATGACCAATTTCTATGCCATCAATCAATAAGTCTATAGTATTGAACTAAACTAATGAAAAATGTCATAGAAAACACTTGGCCCATTGATTTTTTTCCGCCTCTGTTACAATTAGAGAACAATAGAAGGTCACATACGATCGAAGGCTAGATCATGTGTAAAGGACTCTGATAGGCAAAGAATTAAGAGAAGGAAGAGGAAAGTCAGCGTGGGCTTCATCGGACAGATGCAGTTTAAGAGATCTTTGGGGCTCTAGCTTTTACTATCTGTGCAATTAGAGACAGGGTATTTAGTCTATTTCTTTTTCTTACCTAAAATAGGACTGACATGATTGATTCGTATGAGGATATGAAACCAAAGAAATTTTTGGCCGGGCGCAGTAATCCTAGCACTTTGGGAGGCCAAGGCAGGTGGATCACCTGCGGTCAGGGGTTTGAGACCAGCTTAGCCAACATGACAAAACTCCGTCTCTAGCTAAAAATACAAAAATTAGTGGGATGTGATGGCGCATACCTGTATCTCAGCTATTCAGGAGGCTGAGACAGGAGAATCACTTGAACCCAGGAGGCGGAGGTTGCAGAGAGCTGAGATCACGCCACTGCATTCCAGCCTGGGTGACAGAGCAAGACTCTACCTCAAAAAAAAAATTATACAAATTTACTTATTCATTTTCAATCATTTAAACATTTATTGAGTATCTTCTATGCCCCAGACAAAGTATTGAACCTAGGGTTATGAAGATAAATAAGACACAGTTACTCAAAGAACTTGCAATCTAAAAAGGGAGACTGTAGACACTTAAAGAGAGTCTGTGTGATAATAGACATATGCAAAAGTCATTATGGGAGCAAACAGGAGGGAGGTGGGGAGCAGAGACAAGATGGGAAGTCTCCCTGGAGGTGAAGATGACTGAGATGTGGTGGAAATATATGTGGCTTAGTCAGACAAAAGGGGATAGAAGAGCTCCCCAGACAGAAGGAGCAGCATGAACAGAGGCTTGTGGGAGGGGAACAACTTGGGGAGTGCATGTTTGTGTGTGCATGGACATGAGAGAATTATAATCCCATCAAGAATTTTTAGAGCCTAACGTTAAAGGCAGAAAATAATGACAGATCAGTCCAAAGCTAAGTAGTGTCCTAAGTCACATATTAAGAAGCTGGGAATTTACTTACTCATGGGAAATGGGGAATTGCTCCATACTTTAAGCAGAGGAATGGCATGGTCAGATTTGGTGTTAGAAAGCTCTTTAGGCCTAGAGGATGGGGGAAAGGATTAGAGGGAAGCAGGCTTTGAAGCAGGGAGACAGGAGGAAGGGCTGAGCAGTGATCCAACTGAGGGTCATGAGGACCTGAGCAGGCGAAGGCCCAAGAGCCTGGTTATAGGTCAGAAGATAGCATAGAAAGACAGAAGGATGGAAAATACAGAGAAGCATGCAGGAGCCCCTTGGGACATGGTGACAAAATTAACTTCACTGTAACTGGAATACCAGAGCGCAGAAAATCTTTAAAGCAGCAAGAGAAAAGAAGAAATATTACCTTCAAAGAGCAGCAGTAAGACTTATAGCCAACTTCTCGACAGAAATAATGGAAGCCAGAAGATAGAGAATGATAGATTCAAAGTCCTCAAAGAAAACAACTGCCAACACAAAATTCCTACAATGACTATATCCTTCAAAAACAAAGATGGAAAAGAGTTTTCTGCTTCCTGGTGGGATACAGTAGCTTAAGGCACACCAGTCTCCCTGCCAAGAAACACTAGCAGGGCCAGATGAAATAGAGAAATCATTCATTTGAAGTCATCGAAGATGTGCTGAGGAAATGGGAACTGGAGAGGCTCAGATTCTGGAAAGAGAGGGAATTTGGAGAGGTCAGCTGACTTCCCAGCCTGCAGGAGTCTGAGAATGGGGCTTTGCACCAACGGCTGCTGCTTGGGACCAGAGAATACAGCAGGACTTCTGATGGAAATTTGGGTGGGCGAGGGAGGTCTTGATCTCATGGTCTCTTTTCCTCTCAAGCAAATCCTTCACCAGAGCTCCCTGCTACACTTCCTCTGCAGAACAGATGCTTGAGATAATGCTGGATGCTGCAGCCTGGGTCAGAGTGGGGCTGGATCCCTGCCCTCTGTCCTGCCCAGCTTTCCATGGAGCTCAGGGGGATGACTTTGGTTCTGGATGGCCTCAGAAGTTATGTAGCTGTACTGGCTTAATGAGAGAGTGAAGGTCAGGGTCAGAGTCAGAGCTGGGAACACAAAAGAAGGGTTGAGGGCAGAGATGGGTCACACCTAAGCCAGTTTTGGGAGACCACAATTAAGGAAAATCCAGAGACCTGGAACCCCACCTCTTACCTGAGACTGAACTCATGGCCTCTCCCATAAGCATGCTTCTTTGCTTATTATTCTTCTCTTCCTGCCTGGAATATCTTCTTAAACCACCTCTCCTCTCTCTAGCTATTCATTATTTCTCCTACAAGCCCTACCCACTATCATGAAGGAATCTGCACAGAGCCCTCCCTCCTTGACACCCTCAGACCACTTGCCATTGGTCACAAACTCCCTTGTATGATTGGCACTCAATCCCATCTTGAACAGTTCCCAATTACCCTACCAGACTGTAAGCTCCTTGAGGGCACAGGCCAGCACCAGAACAGGGGTCTACACCTAACACACACCTGAACATGATACTTTGAGTGAGGAGAGAGATAATGACTGTGGCATTCTCAAGAGGCAAATATCTGAGCACTCAAGGTCAGGGCAAATGTAGATCCTCAGTTCTTGAAGGCAGAGGTCTTGTCTTCTCTTTCATCTCCCAACTTCCAGCCTCCTCACTCCCTAGAGCCTTGCTCATAGAAAGTACATGTTGAGACCAGGTGCAGTGGCTCACACCTGCAATCCCAGCACTTTGGGAGGCCAAGGCAGGTGGATCACTTGAGCATAGGAGTTTGAGAGCAGCCTAGGCAACATGGCGAAATCCTGTCTCCACCAAAAATACAAAAAGTTAGCTGGGCATGGTGGTGCACACTTGCAGTCCCAGCTACTTGGGAAGCTGAGGTGGGAGGATCACTTGAGCCTGGGAGGTGGAGGCTGCAGTGAGCCTAGATGGCGCCACTGCACTCCAGCCTGGATGACAGAGTGAGACCCTGTCTCAAAAACTAAAGTACATGTTGAATGACTGAATGAAGCCATTTTTCCAGTTATCTTTGTAATGGACTGGTCAAGATTTCTCCTCCTCCTTTTCCTCCTCCTCTTCCACCTCTTCCTTTATCTTCACCAGCCTCAGAGAGGACCTGGACCTCAGACTTGACTTTTGGGATACGGACTCCTTTAGGAATCTAAACCCTCTCTCTTTCTAAAAAAAAAAAAAAAAAAAAAAAAAGGACTTCTCCCTGTACCAAACTATATCACCCATACAGTGGATCTTTTGAATGGTCTAATGAAATGGGATGGAGATTGTCACCAAGGATTGGCTCCTATCTGTGAGGGCACCTGAGGCCACAAACACTCCTCTCCAAAGAGAATCAAAGTGATGTGATCATTTTTCCAGCTTATTCATGTGATTTCCAGCCACTTGTGATGTATAAACTGGCCATATATAATCTTGGGCAAGTCACGGGACCTCAGTTATCTCATTACAAAAGAAAAAAAATCTCATTATAAAAAGAAAAAAAATTAGATGACCAAGACAAAAAGTTTTCACTTGATTCCATGGATGATCAATACAAGATCAATAAGATCAATGCCATATTCTTTGTCCCCACAGAGAAATCCCAACATTGACTCTAACAATGATTTTGATGTCAGTTGACACTGGGCTCATTCCCTCTCAGCCTGAGGCCCTATCTTGCAGGGCCACCTCCTTCTTGTTACCAGGTATGCTAGACTGAATAATGGCCCCCAAAGATATCCAAGTACTAATTTCTGGAACCTGTGAATGTTACCTTATATGGCAAAAGGGGCTTAACAGTTGTGATTAAGTGTGATTACCTTGAGGGTGATTACCACAAACTTAGTAGCTTCAAACAACACAGATACATTACCTTAAAGTTTTGTAGGACAGATATCCAACATGGGTCTCACCGGGTAAGGTCAAGGTGCTGGCAGGTCTGAGTTCCTTTGGGAGGCTCTAGGGGAGGGCCTGTTTCCTGCCTTTTTCAGCTTCCTTTTCAGCTTCTAATGGCCACCTGTCTTCCTTGGCTGTTGGCCCCATCCTTGGGCCAAGTCCTTCTCATGCTGCCATCTCTTGTATTCTCCCTTCCAATTCCCTTTTCCACTTTTAAGGACCCAGGTGATTACACTGGGCCCACAGGACAATGTCCAAGAATCTCCCTATCTTAAGATCAGCTGACTAGCAACCTTAATTCCCCTCTGCCATATAACCTAACATATTCACAGGTTCTGACAGTTAGAACATAGACCTCTCTGTGTAGTGGGGGCAGGTGGATATTCTGCCTACCATAGAAGGAGACAGTAAGGAGAACCTTCCAGACAAGAAGGAGAAGTATGACAGAGAAGTATGAGCCAAAGTCCATAAGAAGAAATCAGAGTTTCAGAAGGAGAATCATGAAAATAAGGCTGAAGACATAGTTTAGAGTCAGATGGTGGGCAAAGGGCTTTGAATGCCAGGATGGTGTAGGGCTCTGTTGTATAAACAAGAGGAAACAGGGTGTCCCTTGCTGGGACTGTGGTATAAAAGTTGCCTGGATGGGCCAGGTGCGGTGGCTCATGCCTGTAATCCTAGCACTTTGGGAGGTTGAGGCGGGCAGATCATGAGGTCAAGAGTTCGAGACCAGAGGAGGAGCCAAGATGGCCGAATAGGAACAGCTCCGGTCTACAGCTCCCAGCGTGAGCGACGCAGAAGACGGGTGATTTCTGCATTTCCATCTGAGGTACCGGGTTCATCTCACTAGGGAGTGCCAGACAGTGGGCGCAGGCCAGTGTGTGTGCGCACCGTGCGCGAGCCGAAGCAGGGCGAGGCATTGCCTCACCTGGGAAGCGCAAGGGGTCAGGGAGTTCCCTTTCCGAGTCAAAGAAAGGGGTGACTGACGCACCTGGAAAATCGGGTCACTCCCACCCGAATATTGCGCTTTTCAGACTGGCTTAAGAAACGGCGCACCACGAGACTATATCCCACACCTGGCTCAGAGGGTCCTACGCCCACGGAATCTCGCTGATTGCTAGCACAGCAGTCTGAGATCAAACTGCAAGGCGGCAACCAGGCTGGGGGAGGGGCGCCCGCCATTGCCCAGGCTTGCTTAGGTAAACAAAGCAGCCAGGAAGCTCGAACTGGGTGGAGCCCACCACAGCTCAAGGAGGCCTGCCTGCCTCTGTAGGCTCCACCTCTGGGGGCAGGGCACAGACAAACAAAAAGACAGCAGTAACCTCTGCAGACTTAAGTGTCCCTGTCTGACAGCTTTGAAGAGAGCAGTGGTTCTCCCAGCACGCAGCTGGAGATCTGAGAATGGGCAGACTGCCTCCTCAAGTGGGTCCCTGACCCCTGACCCCCGAGCAGCCTAACTGGGAGGCACCCCCCAGCAGGGGCACACTGACACCTCACACGGCAGGGTATTCCAACAGACCTGCAGCTGAGGGTCCTGTCTGTTAGAAGGAAAACTAACAACCAGAAAGGACATCTACACCGAAAACCCATCTGTACATCACCATCATCAAAGACCAGAAGTAGATAAAACCACAAAGATGGGGAAAAAACAGAACAGAAAAACTGGAAACTCTAAAACGCAGAGTGCCTCTCCTCGTCCAAAGGAACGCAGTTCCTCACCAGCAATGGAACAAAGCTGGATGGAGAATGATTTTGACGAGCTGAGAGAAGAAGGCTTCAGACGATCAAATTACTCTGAGCTACGGGAGGACATTCAAACCAAAGGCAAAGAAGTTGAAAACTTTGAAAAAAATTTAGAAGAATGTATAACTAGAATAACCAATACAGAGAAGTGCTTAAAGGAGCTGATGGAGCTGAAAACCAAGGCTCGAGAACTACGTGAAGAATGCAGAAGCCTCAGGAGCCGATGCGATCAACTGGAAGAAAGGGTATCAGCAATGGAAGATGAAATGAATGAAATGAAGCGAGAAGGGAAGTTTAGACAAAAAAGAATAAAAAGAAATGAGCAAAGCCTCCAAGAAATATGGGACTATGTGAAAAGACCAAATCTACGTCTGATTGGTGTACCTGAAAGTGATGTGGAGAATGGAACCAAGTTGGAAAACACTCTGCAGGATATTATCCAGGAGAACTTCCCCAATCTAGCAAGGCAGGCCAACGTTCAGATTCAGGAAATACAGAGAACACCAGAAAGATACTCCTCGAGAAGAGCAACTCCAAGACACATAATTGTCAGATTCACCAAAGTTGAAATGAAGGAAAAAATGTTAAGGGCAGCCAGAGAGAAAGGTCGGGTTACCCTCAAAGGAAAGCCCATCAGACTAACAGCGGATCTCTCAGCAGAAACCCTACAAGCCAGAAGAGAGTGGGGGCCAATATTCAACATTCTTAAAGAAAAGAATTTTCAACCCAGAATTTCATATCCAGCCAAACTAAGCTTCATAAGTGAAGGAGAAATAAAATACTTTATAGACAAGCAAATGCTGAGAGATTTTGTCACCACCAGGCCTGCCCTAAAAGAGCTCCTGAAGGAAGCGCTAAACATGGAAAGGAACAACCAGTACCAGCCGCTGCAAAATCATGCCAAAATGTAAAGACCATCGAGACTAGGAAGAAACTGCATCAACTAATGAGCAAAATCACCAGCTAACATCATAATGACAGGATCAAATTCACACATAACAATATTAACTTTAAATATAAATGGACTAAATTCTGCAATTAAAAGACACAGACTGGCAAGTTGGATAAAGAGTCAAGACCCATCAGTGTGCTGTATTCAGGAAACCCATCTCACGTGCAGAGACACACATAGGCTCAAAATAAAAGGATGGAGGAAGATCTACCAAGCCAATGGAAAACAAAAAAAGGCAGGGGTTGCAATCCTAGTCTCTGATAAAACAGACTTTAAACCAACAAAGAACAAAAGAGACAAAGAAGGCCATTACATAATGGTAAAGGGATCAATTCAACAAGAGGAGCTAACTATCCTAAATATTTATGCACCCAATACAGGAGCACCCAGATTCATAAAGCAAGTCCTCAGTGACCTACAAAGAGACTTAGACTCCCACACATTAATAATGGGAGACTTTAACACCCCACTGTCAACATTAGACAGATCAACGAGACAGAAAGTCAACAAGGATACCCAGGAATTGAACTCAGCTCTGCACCAAGCAGACCTAATAGACATCTACAGAACTCTCCACCCCAAATCAACAGAATATACATTTTTTTCAGCACCACACCACACCTATTCCAAAATTGACCACATACTTGGAAGTAAAGCTCTCCTCAGCAAATGTAAAAGAACAGAAATTGTAACAAACTATCTCTCAGACCACAGTGCAATCAAACTAGAACTCAGGATTAAGAATCTCACTCAAAGCCGCTCAACTACATGGAAACTGAACAACCTGCTCCTGAATGACTACTGGGTACATAACGAAATGAAGGCATAAATAAAGATGTTCTTTGAAACCAACGAGAACAAAGACACCACATACCAGAATCTCTGGGACACATTCAAAGCAGTGTGTACAGGGAAATTTATAGCACTAAATGCCCACAAGAGAAAGCAGGAAAGATCCAAAATTGACACCCTAACATCACAATTAGAAGAACTAGAAAAGTGAGAGCAAACACATTCAAAAGCTAGCAGAAGGCAAGAAATAACTAAAATCAGAGCAGAACTGAAGGAAATAGAGACACAAAAAACCCTTCAAAAAATCAATGAATCCAGGAGCTGGTTTTTTGAAAGGATCAACAAAATTGATAGACCGCTAGCAAGACTAATAAAGAAAAAAAGAGAGAAGAATCAAATAGACACAATAAAAAATGATAAAGGGGATATCACCACCGATCCCACAGAAATACAAACTACCATCAGAGAATACTACAAACACCTCTACGCAAATAAACTAGAAAATCTAGAAGAAATGGATAAATTCCTGGACACATACACTCTCCCAAGACTAAACCAGGAAGAAGTTGAATCTCTGAATAGACCAATAACAGGCTCTGAAATTGTAGCAATAATCAATAGTTTACCAACCAAAAAGAGTCCAGGACCAGATGGATTCACAGCCGAATTCTACCAGAGGTACAAGGAGGAACTGGTACCATTCCTTCTGAAACTATTCCAATCAATAGAAAAAGAGGGAATCCTCCCTAACTCATTTTATGAGGCCAGCATCATTCTGATACCAAAGCCGGGCAGAGACACAACCAAAAAAGAGAATTTTAGACCAATATCCTTGATGAACATTGATGCAAAAATCCTCAATAAAATACTGGCAAACCGAATCCAGCAGCACATCAAAAAGCTTATCCACCATGATCAAGTGGGCTTCATCCCTGGGATGCAAGGCTGGTTCAATATACGCAAATCAATAAATGTAATCCAGCATATAAACAGAGCCAAAGACAAAAACCACATGATTATCTCAATAGATGCAGAAAAAGCCTTTGACAAAATTCAACAACCCTTCATGCTAAAAACTCTCAATAAATTAGGTATTGATGGGACGTATCTCAAAATAATAAGAGCTATCTATGACAAACCCACAGCCAATATCATACTGAATGGGCAAAAACTGGAAGCATTCCCTTTGAAAACTGGCACAAGACAGGGATGCCCTCTCTCACCGCTCCTATTCAACATAGTGTTGGAAGTTCTGGCCAGGGCAATCAGGCAGGAGAAGGAAATAAAGGGTATTCAATTAGGAAAAGAGGAAGTCAAATTGTCCCTGTTTGCAGACGACATGATTGTTTATCTAGAAAACCCCATCGTCTCAGCCCAAAATCTCCTTAAGCTGATAAGCAACTTCAGCAAAGTCTCAGGATACAAAATCAATGTACAAAAATCACAAGCATTCTTATACACCAACAACAGACAAACAGAGAGCCAAATCATGGGTGAACTCCCATTCACAACTGCTTCAAAGAGAATAAAATACCTAGGAATCCAACTTACAAGGGATGTGAAGGACCTCTTCAAGGAGAACTACAAACCACTGCTCAATGAAATAAAAGAGGACACAAACAAATGGAAGAACATTCCATGCTCATGGGTAGGAAGAATCAATATCGTGAAAATGGCCATACTGCCCAAGGTAATTTAGAGATTCAATGCCATCCCCATCAAGCTACCAATGACTTTCTTCACAGAATTGGAAAAAACTACTTTAAAGTTCATATGGAACCAAAAAAGAGCCCACATCGCCAAGTCAATCCTAAGCCAAAAGAACAAAGCTGGAGGCATCACACTACCTGACTTCAAACTATACTACAAGGCTACAGTAACCAAAACAGCATGGTACTGGTACCAAAACAGAGATATAGATCAATGCAACAGAACAGAGCCCTCAGAAATAATGCCGCATATCTACAACTATCTGATCTTTGACAAACCTGAGAAAAACAAGCAATGGGGAAAGGATTCCCTATTTAATAAATGGTGCTGGGAAAACTGGCTAGCCATATGGAGAAAGCTGAAACTGGATCCCTTCCTTACACCTTATACAAAAATCAATTCAAGATGGATTAAAGATTTAAACATTAGACCTAAAACCATAAAAACCCTAGAAGAAAACCTAGGCATTACCATTCAGGACATAGGCGTGGGCAAGGACTTCAGGTCTAAAACACCAAAAGCAATGGCAACAAAAGCCAAAATTGACAAATGGGATCTAATTAAACTAAAGAGCTTCTGCACAGCAAAAGAAACTACCATCAGAGTGAACAGGCAACCTACAACATGGGAGAAAATTTTTGCAACCTACTCATCTGACAAAGGGCTAATATCCAGAATCTACAATGAACTCAAACAAATTTACAAGAAAAAAACAAACAACCCCATCAAAAAGTGGGCGAAGGACATGAACAGACACTTCTCAAAAGAAGACATTTATGCAGCCAAAAAACACATGAAGAAATGCTCATCATCACTGGCCATCAGAGAAATGCAAATCAAAACCACTATGAGATATCATCTCACACCAGTTAGAATGGCAATCATTAAAAAGTCAGGAAACAACAGGTGCTGGAGAGGATGTGGAGAAATAGGAACACTTTTACACTGTTGGTGGGACTGTAAACTAGTTCAACCATTGTGGAAGTCAGTGTGGCGATTCCTCAGGGATCTAGAACTAGAAATACCATTTGACCCAGCCATCCCATTACTGGGTATGTACCCAAAGGACTATAAATCATGCTGCTATAAAGACACATGCACACGTATGTTTATTGCGGCACTATTCACAATAGCAAAGACTTGGAACCAACCCAAATGTCCAACAATGATAGACTGGATTAAGAAAATGTGGCACATATACACCATGGAATACTATGCAGCCATAAAAAATGATGAGTTCATATCCTTTGTAGGGACATGGATGAAATTGGAAACCATCATTCTCAGTAAACTATCGCAAGAACAAAAAACCAAACACCGCATATTCTCACTCATAGGTGGGAATTGAACAATGAGATCACATGGACACAGGAAGGGGAATATCACACTCTGGGGACTGTGGTGGGGTCGGGGGAGGGGGGAGGGATAGCATTGGGAGATATACCTAATGCTAGATGACACATTAGTGGGTGCAGCGCACCAGCATGGCACATGTATACATATGTAACTAACCTGCACAATGTGCACATGTACCCTAAAACTTAGAGTATAATAAAAAAAATAAAAATAAATAAAAAAAAAAAAAAAAAAAAAGAGTTTGAGACCAGCCTGCCCAATATGGTGAAACCCTGTCTCTACTAAAAATACAAAAATTAGCTGGGCGTGGTGGTGCACACCTGTAGCCCCAGCTACTCAGGAGGCTGAGGCAGCAGAATCCCTTGAATCTGGGAGGCGAAGGTTTCAGTGAGCCGAGGGACAGTGCAGTACCTGGGAAACAGAGCAAGCCTCCGTCAAAAAAAAAAAAAAAAATCCTGGATGTTGTCATTTATTTCTTTGACCTTCTCTCCATCATGGCACTGGGAAGTGAGGAAAGCGGTTCTCCTGGGCATCTATGGGCAGCTGTGGACAGGTGTAGAATTAATATGACCAAAACAGCAGGACACTGAAAACGGAAAGTGGGAAGAGAGGAGGAAAAGAGAGAGTGAACAGAACAGAGTTTAACCCCTTCATAACCTGCTCGCACCTTTTAATTCCCATTGAATAGGCCTGATTCCATTTTGATAGAAAACATGCCCAGTGCGTGGTTCAGAAGGCTATAGAATTGAGAGCTATTAAATACTAAAAAGACAAGGTGAGAAACAATTTGCAAAATCTCCTCTTTTTATAGACTGCAGCGATTGAGAAAAATTGAGTAAATTCCCCAGCTGCCTCAACTGCAGTCTGTTTCAAGATTCCATCAATTTTTTACGGTACAATCAATATTTATGAATCCCCAAAGAAATGTCGCAAAGAGAAACCCAGCACAACATTTTCTCAGTGGTTTGCAGAGATGTTAACAGGGGGACCTAAATAACTTTTAAAATAATCTCAATGACAATCAAAGACTCTTCCATAGCCAATGCGGTTTAATGTCGGGCTTTATATTAGCGCTGCTCTGCCGGGGGCGGGGGCGGGGAAGGGAAAACGCTGAGAGTTTAATCTGTCCAAAAGATGACACTTGGCTATAATAAGTACGCTGTAATATGGTACTTAAAAATCCAAAGGAAGTGCTATATTAATAAGTCCCTGGATTTTTTGTTTAATGCATTCAAATATCGGTTAAGCAATAGATTTTTTCAGTCAGCTGGAAAAAAAAAGATTTCTGGGGGAAAAAAACAGACAAATCCACATTGCTTTAATGGCTACTTTAGGTTTAATATCTAAACTTATTTAAATAACTCTGCGCCCTCCTGCTGAAAAATATTGAAACTAATGGATTCCTTTGTGCGTAATCTCCATTTAAATGTGGAGTTTAATTTCCCTTTTGGCTAAACCTATGGGAAACTAGTCTTGAAATGTCCCTCTTAAAAAAGAGACGAAAACCCCATATAGAATATTTAGGGGCATTCCTTTATTTTATTTAAAATTGGTTTGGGGCATTAAAACTAAGTAGCCAACGAAAAGCAAGCCCGCAGACTCCCTACGTTTATACCTGGAGCCCGAGGTGGGTGCTGGGCGACTGTGGTTTCCCGGGTGCGCAGACGCCCATGTGCGCAATCAGAGTGCCTAAGCCCCGCGCAGATCCGGCACCCCTTGGGGGGTAATCCCCGCCAGGGCCTGGCTCTCTCGACCCCCAAACGCTGTCCCCATCCTTCTCATAATGATAACACCGAAAATTCCACCACTGGAGCTTCCTCTCTGAGGCCTAAGGCTTTGATTTCTGTTCCATGCAAATCTCCTCAGGCAGAGTCGGACTTCCCTGTGGCTGAGGGCTATTTTGTGCGCATGAATATGCATAGAGACCTGTGATGTCAGAATGGGAACTAAGACCTAGAAAGTAATCCCTGCTGCCCTTTCGCTGGCCCA
Organism: Homo sapiens; assembly: GCF_000001405.40. Lineage (NCBI taxonomy): Eukaryota > Metazoa > Chordata > Mammalia > Primates > Hominidae > Homo > Homo sapiens. The sequence continues at coordinate 47,668,182 of NC_000018.10, forward strand.
GGAAGGGGTAAATCACAGATCAGTGTCAGAGGTGCGATGAAAACCCAGGAGTTCTGATTCCTGGGTCACCATGCTCCCTTTGCCAAGGGTGGAGCCGACACCAACAGACTCTTAGCTCCTGTGCCCTGTGCATCCTGGTGTTCGTGCACGTGCTGCACGGGTGAGTCTGCCTGAAACTGCGCGTGTGGGTTAAGGTACAATATGCTTCTTATAACCACTCCAAACTGTACAGACATGAGAATACTAGGGTTGTCATTGTCATCAAAGGATTTCTTTAGATGTCTTCTCTCAGTTGTGTAGATAAAATGCAGGTTATAAAGATGCAGCTTGTATATAACTCTCTTTACAACACCCTACTGCGTAAAACCATCCACACCTGGGTGTGCCTGCCTAGTGATAGGCTTCAACATGGCTGGTATATTATAATTCATGGACAATGGTAACTACTAATGATTTAAAGCTGAGAGGGAGAAAGAATGAGTTGGTCTTTCATACAATTTATCTGTGATAGAGAAGAGCCCTGTGACAGAAGGTGGGAGTCCTGGGTTCTGGTCCCAGTTCTTTCGCTTACCAAAGGTGGAAGCTGAGCATCACTCATCTTTAAAATGGTGAGAGTGATAACAATAACTTGTAGACCAAAGGCAGGCCCCCGGAGCAAATGATTTGGGGAGATTCCTCAGGCTACATGATTTGATTATATTACATTATAACAAACATGACAGCAAGCTAAAGACATAGAATGTGATTCAGTTTTAGTATGTGCACACACACATACACGCACACACACATACACGCACACACACACACACCAGCTCTGAAGTCAAGATCCCTTTAACAGACTTGCTTATTATAGGTGACTTAGAAAATGTGAGGGCTAAACATGAACCATAGCCTGAGGTGGTCCTGCTAGAAAGCCATGTGCCTGTCCTGTCAGTCTCTCCAAGACCACTGGTAGAACAGCCCAGAATGCCAGATGGCATGGGCAGTGTGATCTGAGGAGTGCCATGAACTACATGCTCTAAAAATTTCATCCCCACCAGCTTGTATCTGGAATCATGATGTAAAATTGCTCCTATGGATAAGAATGTTAAAAAAAAATTGAGTTCAAATGTAGAATTAATACCCAAGGGAGACATTGCTGTTATTAGCCTTAACTCTTTAGCTAGAACTCATTTCTAGCTAAATTTCACTTTTAGCTAGAATTCAGTTCGATTCATTTGTCATCTAACAGGATCTGGAAAGATACATAAATTTCCACTAGAAGAGGAGAAAGGCATAAGACAGACCTCAGCTGTCATTCAGGAAAGGAAGGGCCGCCAGTCTGGAGTGACAACTAGGGTCAGTGGAAGTCTGGGCAGTGGAGAGGGGAATCCTGAAAATAAGTTGCTTACTTCACTCAGAGTGTTCCAAGGACTGGCCTTGGCACCAGCATTGTCCAGGGGCCATGTCAGCTGATGTATTCTGCTCAGGGCTGTGAGGGCCTCTGAGAAGCAGAAGAAATGACTCCTGCTTTCCAGAGCTTATTGTCCAGCTGAGGCTATGAGACATTACAACATTCAGTAGGAACTCGAAGGGCATGGAGACTCAGAGCAGCATGGAGACTCAAAGAAGAAATCAGACTAACTGCACTGGTGGGAAAGGCTCTAGGGAGAAGAGGCCAACTGGAGAAAAGGACATCCAAGACTGGTCCGACAGGGGTGGGCAGAGGGAACAGTGAGGAGAACAATGGAGAGGACCCACAGCTCACCAAGGCTACTCCAAAATATCCCACCAGTCACAGGGTCTCCTTCTGAGTTAAAGTGTTATGTGGGTCATAGGCCAAGACTCAGACTCTACCCACAGTGACCAAAGTCCAGACCGCAGGCCAGTGGGTAGGAAGCATTCCCTGCCTTCCTCCATTCACAGGGCAACTCAGTCCTAACTCGTGTGCTGTTTAATCAACACAGAAGCCCAGCATGGACAGTCAGAGCCTGAGAGACTTCAGAAAGCTTCTCCTCCAGGAATTCTTATTTTTGAGGTCATACTTCCTTTAAGGATCTAGTGAAAAGTATGAACCAACCCTCTCCCATGAAAAACATGCACCTGTGAAATACACATATAATTTCACAAGCTTCAAAGACCCTCTCCTACTCCCCTCCACTGCAGAACCAATCCTTGAACCCCAGTTAGTAAGAGCTAGCCCAATCCTTTCATTCTGCAGAGAAGAGGATCTAAAGCAGAAGAGTAAAATCCCAAGGTCATCAAGTTAGAGCTGGACCAGAACCGGCTCCCTCTTTCTAGTAGTGCAGTGATCTTTGGCAGTTTTTACAGACTCACGGGTATCCTTAGGTATCCTTTCATATTTGTATCGATTGCCATGAACATACTGTGACAAACCATCTCAAAACTTAGTGACTTGAAACAACAAGCATTCCTTTAGCTCTTGAGTCTGCAGGTCAAAGATTTTAGGCTGGACCTGGTTGAATGATTCTTCTGGTCTCAACTGGGGCTGCTCCTCTGGAGGCCAGCTGACTTACAGCTTTAAAGTCTTACAGCTTTATGCTTACCTTCTCCCCATCCCACCTACCAGACCATGCACACATACATACACACACACACACACACACACACACACACACACGCACACTTCTTTTCCCCTGCTCCAGCCATGTCTGACCCACTGTAGACAGACTTTCCTATTTCTGCTTAGCAGTTAGAAGAGGAATATCACGTCTTATCTTAACCTCCTAATGATCCTCCAGCTTTCCCCAGAGAATGGGTCTATAAATTGTACAGGATAACAGGGAGTTTAGCCTGCTACATTCGTGGTCACCTTCAAAAAAGGTGGCCCACCAGCCAGTTTCTTCCCACAAAACAAGGCATTAGATCTCCTACAGGGCGCTTTGTTGGTTAAATCACCCGTGCTACTCCAGCCGTAGCAAATCTAATCCAGGTCCAGTGCATAACCTGAAGCAACTACAAATGACCCAGACACCAGGGTGCCACTAAGGTAACCTGGCTTATATTCTACCATGCACAGGCACTTCATACTGAATGCTGCAAATTGGCCACCAAAATCCTCTGTTTGGGAAGACTAAATGTTGGCCGAACAAAGAGAAGATGAGTCACAGGATTTGTGGTGGTTGTCCTTATCCTACTTTTTCATTTCCCTATAAAAAATGTTGCACATCTTTGTTTTAGAAGAGCTGCATCCTGGGACAATTTTATGGCTGATGAGAACATATCCTGATCCACTCCACATTTCAGTGTAACCTTGCAGTATACCTGTAACACTGGAGGCACACATCTCTTCCCTAGCAGCCCTTAAGAACCTGAATGGTAGAGAGAGGGAGGATCACAAAAGTTTGCTTCCAGCTCTATACTCACCCACAGGTGATTCCATATTTGTTTGTTTTGACTGTGTCTTTTTAATTCTTTTTTTTTAAACTGATTCATTGTATTGATGTCACTGACTAGCTTACCATGGTTCTTAATTACTTGCAGTCCGATAAGGGTATCATCAGGTTAACTTAGTTTCTGTTTTATGTAATTACAATACCAAACTCCTCTCTTTCATCGTCTGCCTTTCCAGTATGTTGGCCACAGAGCATTGTCATCCTCCCCATAACCCACAACACTCAGAGGGCACTCAGAATGAGGATGGGTGGCTCATTATCTTTGTCGATCTGCCCCAGAGTTAGAATCCCTGATGGTAGTATTACTTTCCAATATATGGGGCCTGTGTTCACACTGTTGAAATGTTTCTTAATTAAGAATCTTTTTTTCTGTCTTATGCATAAATTAGTCAAGGTAATTATTGTAGCATTATTATTATTACATTGTACTTATAGAGCACTTACCTCCAAGGTGCTCAAAGTAGCTTATAGATTTTTTTAATCTAATGAACTCTCGTAGCCTCTAGGCAAGATGGAGAGCAGAGCAGGGATTATTAGAGTCACATTATAGTTGGAGAAATGGGTCAGGCCAGAAGTAGGGGTGGCTGTGGGTTGCTGCAAAATAACTCATTCAGATCCATGTTTTCCCTGTCTGTGGAGGTATGAGAAGCGAGCAAAGGGCTATCTTTGGGGTAGGAAGAGCGCCTTCTCTACCCGCAGAAAGCACAGGCAGGTAGCAGCTTTTGAGCCCAGAGGGCCCCTCCAGCAGGGTTTGGATCTAGAAAACACACAGGAGATATTAGTTGTTTTCTCCCTTCCTCTCCTAATTTCCACTTGCCATGAAGTTTGACCAGGTCCCCAGACTGCTACTTTGTGGTGCAGGAAGCAAAGGGTATAAGGAGAGAGGAGGAAAACTTAGCACTTGGCATCAGCACCAGTTTACTCTGACCCTGACTCACATTATTGCATTTTCACATGCCTCTTTCTGATGCTCTACATTTCTTGGGAGCAGCTGAGCAGGGTAGACTTAGCCACAGACAGGCACCATCATGGTCTGGTGGAAATTCCTGTGCTGATGGAGATGGGGACGGGGGGCGGGGTCCAGCTCACTTTAATTTGACTAGAGGGCAGCAGGAGATAGCAGCATTTTGTAAGAGCCTTGAGTTAAAACTTCCTGCATTAAGTACTGACAAATATAGAATGTGTGATGGGTGACTCAGAGAATGACCGTTGCAAGTACCACACAAAAATATTAATAACAACAACAATATCAAGGTACTGATCTTGCAGGTCTATTTCTAGGTATAGATCATAGACTTTCTCCTCTCTCACAAGATTGCTAGGGTATGTATGGCTGTCGACGTCCACATTGTTATAACTCAGCAGAATCTAGTGGTCACTCATCAGCATATAAGCATATCTTATTGCTTGCAGGGGAGAAAAATGGTAACTGACAGTGAGCAAAGACAATCTCATGATACATTTGGTAACTATAGGGTCTCTGCTTCCAGAAGACTCTCATCCATTTCATTAAGCAGATCCAATTCATGGTGATCCATGTGCTCCCTCAGCATAGAAAACCTCTTTCTTACCCTTGCACTGTCTGCCTTAGTCAGTACATCCATTAAGTCTCAAATCAGGCATCATTTTTTCATTTTATAATAACTTTTGACAATAGTGCCCATCCCTAAAAGACCAGGCATTATTCTGGGCACTGGGGTATAGAAGCGACAAAACAGATTGAAAAAAAAAAAATCGTTGCCATCACAGAGTGGGGAAGGTGAAAGGACAGATAACAAAGAAATAGCAAGTTATCAAATAAGTTAGAAAGCTGTCAGTGCTATGGATAAACATTAAAGCAGGGAAGAGGTACAATTTTAATAGAGTGGTTAATGAAGCCTTTGAGAAAGGACTTGGAGGGAATGGGAGAGTGAACCATGCAGATTTGTGACAGTATTCCAAGTAAAGGGAACAGGGAGTGCAAGGTACCAAGACCAGAGGATGGTTGACCCCTTCAAGGAAGAGCAAGAAGCAGAGCAGCTGTCAAAAACAGAAAATAACAAATGTTGGCAAAAATCTGGAGATTTGGAACCTTTGTGCACTGTTGGTGGAAATGTAAAATGGGAAGCTGTTGTGAAAAAAAGTTTGCTAACTCCTCAAAAAGTTAAACATAAAATTACCAAATGACCCAGTAATTCCATTTCTAGGTATCTACCCAAAGGAACTGAAATCAGGGACTTAAACAGATACCTGTACACCAACATTCTTAGCACCATTATTCATAATAGCCAAAAGATGGAAATACTCAAGTGCCCATCAATAGATGAATGAATAAACAAAATGTGGTATAGCCATGCAATGGAATACTGTTCAGTAGACCACCATAAGGACTTTGACTTAGACTTTAGGATGGGAGTCGTGGAGGTGAGGAAATGGGGTGTGACATGATCTGACCATCTTTTAATAGACTTCTATGTTATGAATAGATCAACGAGGGGCAAGGATAGAAGCAGAGACATCAATGGAGAAGAGGCTATAGAAAGATTCTGAGCAAGAAATGACAATGGGTTGGTAATGGTAGTGCAGGTGATAAGAAGAAGTCACGTTCCAGATGTACTTTTTCAGGTAAAGTGTAAATACCAATGAATTGGATGTAAATTATGAAAGAATGAGAAGAATTAAAGGTGATTCAAAAGTTATTTGACCTAAGCTCCAGAAAGGATAATGTTACCATTAACTAAATAAATAGTAAGATGGCAGGGAAAGCAGGTTTGAGGATAAGAAGATCAATGCCTCAGTATGGAACATGGATTTAAGTGCTTATTAAACATCCAAGTACAGATGTCTAGTAGGTAGTTGACTATATGAATCTTGAATTTGGGAGAGCAGTTCAGATTAAAGTTTTTAGAGTCATCAGCATGTAGTTGAGACTAGTTGAGACCACTCAAGAATAATAGAAAAGGAGTATCCCAAGGACTGAGCTGTGGGGGACCAACATCAAGTGGTCAAGTTGATGAGGTGACTGAGAAGCAGCAGTCAGTGAAGCAGGAGGAAAAATAGGAGTATGGGATATCTCGGAAGCCAAGTGAAGAAAGTGTTTTTAGGAGAAAGAGTGATTGACTGTGTCCAATGCTATTGATAGTTCAAATAAATAAGGACCAAGAACTCGCAATTAGATCTAGAAACATGATGACTTGATAAGAACAGTCAGTGGAGAGGACAGGGCAAGAGCCTAAACGGGCAAGTTCAAGTGAGAATGGGAGGAGAGAAATTGGAAACAGCATATGTAGAGAAGCCTTCTGAAGGGTTTTGCTAAAAAGAGAAAGAGAGAGGTGGGGCAGTTGATGGAGGGGAAAGTGGAAGGAGTCGGGGTCTCAGAAGCTCCTCTGTTTCTCTGGCTGGTTAGGTGCCCCTCCTCTGGGTTTACACCCTGACCTTTGTGTGTATGCCTTCCCAAGCAGGCTGCAAGCTCCTGGGAGGCAGGAAGTGTGTATCTTAGTCATCTCTGAGTCCCCAAGGTCTAGCAATGTGTCTGATATACAGCAGCTCTCAGAAAATATTTGCTTAACTGAACTAAGTACAGATTTGATCACAGGCAGATTGATTTGCAAAGGAGTAAAAATTGGTGAAGAAATTAAAAAAAAGAACATCCAGCAAATCATCTGAATGGGATATGAATCATGAATCAGGTCCTGGCCCTGGGATATGCTTTACATCTTGGAGGGAAGATATTGTGCCTTTAACAAACAAGATGGAGCTCTCAAATGCATTTTCCTTAATTTGACACTCATCTCTGCCATGGTCAAGTGTAGATTAGTGTAGCCTATGAAACCAGTGCCACTAGAAGAAATGTACCCTATGTTAGCAGGACTCAGCTATGAGGTCAATACCTGATGACATTAAAGGCTTGATTCATTGGCCAAAGTAAAGTCAATTGTTTTGAACTTGAATTCAAGTGACTAACAGCAGCTTGCTAGTCCTGCTTATTTCTCAATTTTCAGTGACTTTTATGAAGATTTTTAGACAGTAGACATCCAGATGGAGATGGATTTGTGCTTCCTTTTCTACCCTACAGTGAGAAGCAAAAAGGCCGCCATATCCTCCATAGAAGGCCAAGAATGTAATAACTCTTACTCTCCCCTTGGCTGAGTGACAGCTTGACAGCTAACATTTAACTCTGTGCCAAGCACTATATTAAAGCATTTTACATGTATTAACTCATGTAATCCTCTCAACACCTTCATGGAATTGATTCTATTACTGGTCCTGTTCTCTGGTTGAGAAAATTAAAGCACACAGAAATTAGATTAATTTATCCCAGGATACGTGGCTTATGAGTGGCCATCTAGTTCCAGCGTCTGTGCTCTGAACTATACCTGATATGGCCTCTTTCTCCTCTAAAAGGGTCTAGACTCATAAGAAAAGGCATCAAAACTTGCTTTTACTTCCAGGTGAATTGGGTTCTCTATGGAAGGGCTCATTTAACTGGAGGAAAAGAACCAGCTCTTGATTCCACATTTAGCACTAGAAAATTATTCTTTAGAAGACTAAATATCCATCATATGTGTATGTCCTTAGATGAGTCATTAGCCTTTCTAAGTCTTACTTACCAACCCAGGAAATGAGAATCATCTTACCTGCCCTATGTAAGAGTGGTTGTCAGCAGGCTTAGACTGACAGCCAGTGGGGAAGAGTGTGGCTTAAGAAAGAGGAGATCCAAGACCCGGGTCTGGCTTTGCCTATGACTGCCAATATGCCCAGGAAACATTCTTGAACTTTGTCAGTTCTCCTGTCCTCAGCTTCAAAATGATGACATTTGGCCTCCAATAGTCCTCTCCATACTAACACCCTCCATTTTGTGTGAAATGAAGAAAAACAAGGCATTGTTCGGCTTGTTGGTTTCCTCCTCCTTTATGTTGTGTGTTGACATTGCCATTGGCCATAGCACCCTAGATTGTCCAGCCCATCACTTGGTGCAGCTTGAGGTCTCATTATGCCTGGCTAAGAGGAAAGGCACCGTACCCATGTGTCTGCCCTTGGAGGCACTCTAAACAACTAGCACACACAGGGGCCCCAAATCATTTTTGGTGAAATGGACTTATTGCAGTCTCTTCCAATTTACAGATTTTGTAAATCTAGGAGAAGACTGGCATTTTTGGAAGACCCGAGGAAGGGGGCATAAAGAAATCTTTTAGTAAACCCAAATTGCATTCAGTAACCTAGACACTTTAAGAGAATACCAGGACCACATGATTTACAATTATACAAGGTTCTGCAGGTCAATTATGCTACAGGGTATAACAGAATTAGATTATTACATAGAAAGTGGTCCTGCACCCTCACTAACACTAGAAGGGAGTGTCCCTTTTGATGTTTCCATACCCATAGGCTGCCCGTTTTTTTTTGTTTTGTTTTGTTTTTTGAGATGGAGTCTCACTCTGTTACCCAGGTTGGAGTGCAGTGGTGCAATCTCTGCTCACTGCAACCTCCACCTACCAGGTTCAAGTGAGTCTTCTGCCTCAGTAACCCAAGTAGCTGGGATCACAGGTTCCCACCACCAAGCCCACCTGATTTTTGTATTTTTAGTAGAGACAAAGTTTCACCATGTTGGCCAGGCTGGTTTCAAACTCCTGACTGCTAGTGGTCCACCTGCCTAGGCCTCCCAAAGTGCTGGTGTTATAGGCATGAGCCACTGTGCCCGGCCGTGCTGCCCCTTTCTTGATTTCACCAAAACTGTAACCAAGTGCTTGACTTTGGGACCAATGGAGTTCTGGGATGCTCTCACCAGTCTTTCCAGGAGGCTCTGCCTCTCCCACTGTCTACCTGTGCCGCAATCCTAAAACAGCAACACGATGCCTCAGCTTTTACTCCTTGACATGTGCCACAGACATAGGCGGTGATGCCTCATTTCCTGCCTCTCCGAGAAGATGCTGCTCCACCAGGCTGTGGGCCCAGATGAGCACCAACACTCACTTGGTTAAACCTATGGAGATGAAAATCTTCCTAAAGCAGATTAAGCTTCCTTGCCTTTTTTACGGAGTAGTATGAATATGAGTTAGGCTTTTTATTTAGTGGCACCTGGAAATAGACTCAGAGAATGTAGAAGGCCCAGCATAGATGTCTTAGTCCATTTGTGCTGCTGTAACAAAAGATCTGAGACTGGGTAACTTATCACGAGCAAGATTTATTTTCTCACAGTCCTTGAGGCCAGAAAGTCTAAGATTAAGGTGCCAGCAGGTTTAATGTCTGGTGAGGGCCTGCTCCATCAATGGGCCTCATCTCACAGTGCCATCTTCACCTAGTAGAAGGCAGAAGGGTCAAAAGAAGATGAATCCTGTGTCCTCACATGGTAGAAGGGTGGAACTTGTCCCTTCAAACCCTTTTATAAGGGACAAATCCATTCATAAGAGCAGAGCCTTCATGGCCTAATCACCTCCTAAAGGCCCCACCCCTTAATATTACCACAATAGGGATTAGGTTTCAACATGAATTTTGGAGGGGACACATTCAAACCATATTAATCGGCTTTCCACGTAGATGCTCAAGTTTTGCAGAACCCTAGAGCTAGAAGACCTTAGATTTCACCCAACACAGTGTTTCATTTCCTCATTGCTGGCACCTGGGTAACAAGTGTTCTTTGAATGAAAGAATGCGTAAATGAATTAGTACTGAGCTGTAACACACTAATTCCTTTAAAAGCTAAGAAAGTGGTTAAGGCTATTTGCTCCTCTCTCCAACCACAGATGACCATGACTCCTTCAGCAGATGTCTGCTTTCTGTGAGTGTCCTGTCTCTTCCTTCTCTGAGGTTTCACCTGCCATGATTTACTACTCTCTGTGCCTGCCTATGGAAGCAACTTCTCTTTTCATTTCACCAATTCCAATATGTTGATTAACCAGAAACCAGATAATCAATCTTCCTTAGGTGGTACAAAAAGTAAAGGTACCCAGACTCTGAGACAGCACCAAAGAGTCTCTCCCATTGGCAAAGGGCTTGAATTTCAGTGTATCAAGAGGTGAAACCTATTTTGACTTGGACTTACCATTCATTCATTTATTCAATACTTATTTGGTTCCAAGCATTTGGACCACTAGATAGCTAGATTTCAAAAAAGTGAAATGGGGGCTAGCCTAGCCCATAAAACCAGTTCTGACATGCTTGACCTGACGTGAATAGGTTTTCAGTGGCCTTTCCAATATAGGTCCTTTATTCTACTGTCTGCTCTAAAATGTAGATGAATTTTTTAGCTCAAAGATTGTATGGTTTTATTAAAGTCTTTAGGCCTCAGATTTTTTTATGCTAATTGGTTCCAAAGAGTAAATTGAACCCACTTTTGAATTTTACTCATCTGGCACATCAAGGCAGGACTGAGGCTTAATTAACATTTCTCAGTATTGATACTTAAGGTACACCATATTGCTTTGGCCAACAATGGGTATTCTCCAAAAAAAGAATTGCTAATAAGGCCTTGGTTCAAGGATTTTATTCCTAGGGCTTTTCACCATAAGTACCTGATGGTATGAGGCAATACATTCTGTTGAGTACATCCCTATGTAATTGAGAAAGCCAGTCTCACGACTTTTGAGCCAGCCATCCTCGACTCCTGTGCCTGCTGGCTGCTGTGACTGCAATAGAGTCACATCCTGATGTCTAAATATATAAATGTGCAAAGACAGTTAACTAGGACTTATTTGTGCCTTGGGAATTAAAAAAAAAGTAATTAACTGGTATTTTTAACGCATTTTCTCTTTACAGGATGATCTAGTTAAATGGTTCAGTTATAAGATCAGGGAATTTGGTACCTTTTGAAATAGCCCATCTTAAGTGGTTTCAAAGTTATCTTAATGGGCTGATAGCTTGCGCTTTGTCTCCCGGAGAAGCTAAAGGAGAGGGCACAGTTGATCTGATGAGCAGGTTGAAAAAGATGCAAGGACACAGAACAAAGAGGTCACAGTCAGCACCCACCGTGGTCAAGCCAGGAGTAAGCAGTTCACTCCCTGGGCTCAAGAATGTATTTAAAATATTATCTCAGATTTAGAAAAAAAATTTCTATCACCAATGCAATTAAAATACCCAATTTATAATCTGTAAGGAATAAAAATATCTCTAACTTCTTTAGACATCAAGCTACAAATTCTACATTTGGATCTATTGGTCAGTCCACACTGTTAGCTTAGGGGTCAGGAGAGTTCTGGGTAAGGTGCACTGTCCACTAGCATCTACAATGTGTAAAATGTGTATAATAGCATGGGAAGAAAGATAAAGTGTCGCCAGCCTCCAAGATGGCCCCCAGTGATCCCGCCTCCTGATCTTCGTACCCTGTGTAGTCCCCTCCTATATTATATCAGATTTGTTCTACATGACCAACAGAATATGGCAGAAGTGATGGTATGGTATTTTTGAGGTTGGGTTATACAAACACTACAGTCTCTGTCTCTCTCCCCTCTCCCTCTCTGTTTCTCAGATCATTTGCTCTGGAGAAAGCCAGCAGGCATGAGAGGCCCATGTGGTGAGGAACTGAAGCCTCCTGCCCACAGCCACATGTGTGAACTTAGAAATTAGAAGATCTTCTAGCCCAGTCAATGGCTGTACAATGGCTACAACCCTGGCTAATACCTTGACTTCAACCTCACGAAACACTGAGCTAGAACCACCCAACTAAGCTGTTCCTAGATTCCTCACCATCAGGAACTGTGTGCTGTAAAAATGCTTGTTATTATAAGCCACTAAATTTTGAAGTGTTGTGTGACACAACAATCTGTAAATAATTCAGAATAGTAAAATATGAATGGGAACACAAATGTACAGACATGGTATAAGGAATAATTGGATGGTCACAGTGGGTCATTTCTGCCCTCTCATATCTCAGAGCGATTACACCCTTTAACCTCTACTTCTCCCCTCTTCCTGAAAATTCTGCTCAGGGCTTAGGCTTCTAGGAAGCTTATCAAAGCTAGCCTCTTTGCTTTTCATTGGTGTTATTTGTGGGTGTTTATCCCATTAAGGCTGTGGGGGCCCAGCCCATATGGCAGCTTTAAACCTGATGCCTTTTTAGGCCCTCAGCTGTCTGAACAGGAAAGACCCTGGGGCCCAGAAGATCTCTCACTTCTTAGCACAGTGAGGCTGCTGGGCCTTTGACATTGTGTGCACATCTCTGAAGAATTAGAGTTGGGGCAAGAAGGAACAGAAACCCTGCAAGGAAGATCCCCACCCACTGCTGTCTTTTGCTGCTATTTCAGATTAAGTAAAGCAAACCCTATAGATGGGAGAGGCGCTCTTCTGAAGATGACATTTTCCTTAACTAGATACAAGGAGACAAGTGACCTGAGACAGGAAAGCAGGCTAGCCAAATAAATGAGAGTATCAGCCAGAGTTCTTCATGCAGGAAACAAATCATTTAATTTGTGTTAAGCAGAAAATGATTTAATATGAGAAACCGGTGCTTAGAAAATTAGTGAAAGGGCTGGAAGAGCTTCCTTTAGGCTGGATCTCTGGGAATGATATCCTGAGCATGCACTATGCCCAACTGACCAACCATGAAAGGTGGAAATCAGGAGGCCCCAGTGGACCTAGTGATGTAATCTGCAATCTGGGGAGGTCATTGCTGCTTTTGCAGCAGCTCCCTTCAATATCCTCAGAGCTTAGTGTTTGCACCTGCAGCTCTGCTTAGCAGCCTAAGGTGTCCATGCCATTAGCCAAACTCTCAGGAAAATTGCCCTGGCATTAGTCCCAGCTTCCAAATCTCACACAAGTATATTTAATGGACAGAATTCCATTCTCAACCAGAACTCTAGAGGCCAGGGAGTCAGTAACTTTTAGATTTCCAGACTCTGAAATTCAGAAAGGCACATTACAAAGAGGTTGGATTAATACTTAATACAGATTAACCATTTCTAAGGCAGAGGGCAAGCTCCTAACACCATGGCTGAGCTTCTTTCTCTTCTAGATGTAAAATTAGAGGAATCTAGATGTGCTCAAAGGAGCTTCCAGATGACAGAGGTTAAAGATAACTTCTGTACCATTGAGGTGGCTGAGGGGACAGCAAATGATCCTCTTTAGGGGATCCCAATTGAAGATGAATGAGCCAAGTCTTATTTGCATGATCTCATTCCTGTTTCCTTCTTTACCTGTTGCTATCCCCACACCTTTGATAAAATCTCATCTAAATATTTCAGCTGAACTCAGCTGGAATTAAGAGGAGATTTTTATGGCCAAATTAGGGGCAAAGCATAAAAAGGGAAACATGATGGTGACAGCAGTAATTATAGTGAAAGATTCCCAAGAGGAAGTAAACCTTGGGGAATGTCTTAGTCTTCTCAGGCTGCAATAACAAAAATACTTTAAAAAGGATGGTTGACTTATAAACAACAGAAATTTATTTCCCACAATTCCGGTGGCTGGGAAGTCCAAGGCCAAGGTGCCAGCAAATGTGGTGTTGATTTCCTGATTCATTGATGGTAGTCTTTTTGCTGTGTTCTTACATGGCAGAAGAGGTGAATGAGCTTCCTGGGGCCTCTTTTATAGGGCATGAATCTCATTCATGGGCTCCACCATCATGACCTAACGGCCTCCCAAAGACCCCACCTCCTAACACTATCCCTTTGGGGGTTAGGATTTCAACATATGAATTTTGAGGAGGCATAAACATTCAGACCACAGCATGGAATAAGCCTCAGCCACCCTCTCTGCATAGACATCCTTTCCCTGTGCTCATCTCACAGGATACAGGCTTATTGTTGTGAAGGGAGCTAGTAGTATTCCTGCGAGCCAGACACCACAGCTCAGACTCCTTCCCCCAGCCCCATTCAGATGTAGGAAATTAACCAAGTGTCTTAACATCTTAGGCCTTCACCGCCTCATCTCCAAATGTCAGGGGGCTGAGCCAGAGGAGCTCTCCAGTTTCCTTCCAGCCCTAAAATCCATGAGTCCAGGCTCATGTTTATACCAGAGGAATAACAAGTGAGAAGGAGGAATGGGGCTGATATCTCTACCACCTGCCACAATGCCACTAGACAGTGGAAGAGAGATCCCTTGAGAATTTGAGTGAGTGTGGGTAGTTGTCAGAATAGGGCAGATTACCATCAAGGTCAATTGCAAGAGCAAGAATCTCATCTGAGATCAGAATGGCTAGCAACAGGAGGTGGTGGCTTCTGGAGAGTCCTTGCTCTGAAGATGGTCTTAGGTGTCCATTCTGGGCCCATTCATTGGCACCTTCCTCTCCCAAATTAATGTTTTCTTATAGACCTGGGCTCTTTTAGGGCAAGAGCCCCATCTAAACCTGTCAGCCGTCAGCATCTGAGTCTGAAGCTTTCGCCAGCAGGCATGGGAGGTGAGCTCTTCTCTGTAAGAACACTTTGGAAGTCACCAGGGGTTATACAGATGGAAGGGATTATCACTGAAATATAATTTCAACAAAGGTGGTACAATGCTCTGTTCCACTATGATGAAATGTGTCATTAAATATAGAAATAGATCAAGCACCTTCCCACTGAGATCCTCTGGCACCAAGTATCTAGGTGAGAAGCTGAGTAGCTGTGAGAGCTCACCAAATGTGAAAGAGGTGGGAGGAAAAATTCCTCACTAGGGAGATATACTTAACTAGACTTATAAATAGCCCGATCGCAGCTCGTTTGATTAATTTGGGGAAAAGGAGTAAAAGTGTTTTGACAATTCATCAGATTTCATGCTTTCAAAGCAGTTGCTAATGTAAATATTAGCATCCAAAATGAACAAATTGTCTTTGGTAATTAAATGCCCTAATTTACAGGTTCCATTAGCAGAGAACAGAGATAATTTCCCCCCTTAAATTAACTTTTCTCTCCTTCTCCCTTCCCTGTCTCAACTTGATAAGACAAATGGATGTGTAGGGGCTCCAGAGGGGGCTGGAGGAAGTTTACTCTCTCTTGGTCTGAGTGCAGAGGACTGAGTCAGTCCCTGAAGGCAGAGCTCAGAAAGAGTGGAGTGAGTACCTGCTCCCAGAAAGCTTAACTCCCAGTGGCTGTGGCACACTGAGAAATGACCATCCCAGGGGCCAGGAGTGGCCTGCTGTTAGGGTCAGGAGTTCTCCTAGTAACTGTGCGAGATCTGCCTTCTGTTGTCTCTCTCTAGATCAGGATGTACCCCTTGGAAACCTATACTGGAGAGAGGTGGCCAATGACCTGGAACCCAAGCCTGGCCCCCAATTTCTAAGTCATCATATTTGTTCTTTCAAATACCTCTACCTTTCAGGATCTCTCTTATTCCACAGAACTCCTCTAAGGAGCCTAAGACTGTGCCCTATTACTCAAAACCCTTGGTTGACTACACTCCATGAAGTGCTGGCTGATGGCTACTACACATAAGTCCTGGAATGTTTGCATTCTCATAGGGGGCTACAGACTCTTAAACCAGCATCAGCCAAACAAGTTGAGCTGAAGTTAAGTGGCCAGTGACTCACCACAGTGCTGAGGGAGGAGTTTGGACAGGAAGGCCTAGCTTCATCCCTCAATTCATACTCAATTTCCTATTATCCTGTTTTATTTAGGGTGACTAGGTGAGGTGAGTGAGGCTCCTAGGGAGCAAAATTGAAGAAAGTGTAGAGCTGGCATTTGCATGCCTCTGACAGTGAGTTCCTTCTCAAATCTGCACCCTAGGAAGGTGGCAGAGATATCAGCCCCATTCCCTCTCCTCACTAGTTATTCCTCTGCCATAAACATGAGCCTGAACTCATGGCTCTTAGGCCTGCAAGGAACTTGGAGAGCTCCTCTGACTCAGCCCCCAGTGTTCAGAGGTGAGGCAGCAAGGACCCAAGGTGTTAAGGCTGGACCTAGACCTGGATGGGGTGCCATGGAGGAAGATGGGGGACTTAGGAATGGGATTGGTGGCTGGGCTCTTTGCTCTTTGATCACACCACACACACACACACACACACACACACACACACACACACACACACACACAGAGAGAGAGAGAGAGAGCCCTGAGAAGACCTATAGTGAGGCAAGACTCCTCACTATTCTTCTAGGTCTCCAGCACATGGACAAAGGGAGGAAAGCACAGAGGATGGCTTTGAGAGAAGATTGGTTAAAGAAAGCGATAAGGAGAAGTGGGAAAGGGTCACCAGAACCTGTGGCCTGGCCCCATGGGATCTCTGTGAAATGTCCTCCTTCATAAAAAAAAAATATATATAATATATATATTTTATATATATATATTTTATATATATTATATATATTTTATATATATTATATATATTATATATATTTTATATATATTATATATTATATATATTTTATATATTTTATATATATTATATATATTATATATATTATATATATAATATATAAAATATATATTTTATATATAATATATATTTTATATATAATATATATTTAATATATTATATATATATTTTATATATATTATCTATTATATATATTTTATATATATTATCTATTATATATTTTATATATATATTTTATATATATTATATATATTTTATATATTTTTATATATATATATATCAAGAACTCAATAGTTACTCACATACTAAGAGCCTACTATGTACCTAGACTGTTCTAAGTGTGGGGAAGGAGTGGGGAAGCAAACAAGCGTAAGGCATGTAGCTTGCCCTGGAGGCATTGACAAGCCTGTAGGGGAGAAAAAGATTTGACAAGTTAGCAAATCATGTAAGTCAGGAACTTCCAGCAGGAACAGGAGTGACTGCTGGGGCAAGGGATCTATGGGGATACAAGAGCAGGTGTGTAAGTCAGAATAGGCTAGGTTATGCTGCAGTAACCAATGACTCCAAACTGTCTGTGGCTGACAACAGCAACAGTCTGTATCAGATTGATTTCCAGCTCACTGCACATGAACAAGCTATGCTCTGTTCCATCGTTTTCGTTTGAACCCAGGCTGATGGAGCAGTCTCTATCCAGGACATTTCTATTTGTCATGATAGAGAGAAAAGAGAAAACCAGTTGGTAAAGCTTCTCCTTGGACTGTAATACTTGTCATGTCCCCTCACAGTTCATGGAATGAGATTCACACTGAGTGTCATTCCACTCATGTTATGACCAAAGCAAGTCACATGCCCAAGCCAACCATTGATGGAACAGGGAGATATAATTATCCTCAGGAAAGAACAGAAAGTATCTGAGAATAATAATACAATCTCCTACAGCAGGGAAAGCTTCCTGGGGAAGAAACAATGTGACATGGGTCTTGCAAGATGAATACATTTGAAAGAAAACATCAGTCCAGAAAGGCAGCATATTCTAATGATTAGAAGTGCAGGTTCCAGAAGCAGACTGCCTGGATTAAGCTCTCTGTCCCTCAGTTTTCTCATCTGTTATATGAGAATATGAATAAAACATATTAGACAGCGTTGCTGTGAAGCTAAATGAATTAATACAAATAAATTTTGAGGGGATGGTGCCCGGAACATAGTAAATAAATACCTATAAAATATACTAGATGAATACCAGGTCTTATTATTATTTCAGATTTTGTGGAAGCCCAAAGGATTAAAGATTCAGGGTGCATTTGGAGGACAATGCAGTAGAGAACATTCTTATAGAAGTAAAAGAGTTACAGTAGACAGGACTAGCAGACAACCCCCAAAAACTGAGAGAATCAAGCCTGATTATGGAAGACCATGGATGCCAAGCTAAGAGGTGTGGGTGTGACTGATTCATGAATGTATGGACCAATGAGCCGACTCTCAGTGATCCCTTGGAAGTGTCATGGGGGTTTCCATTAAGTTTAGGTCAACTCTTCCACTGCCACAGGGAAATGGCAGTCTTAAGTCACAGTGGTGTCATGCACTGCTGTGTCAGAGCTCCTTCTCAGACAAGCTAGGTGACCCTAGACAAGTTCCTTCACCTCTCTGGGTCCTGAGTCTCCCCCTCTGTGAAAGGAGAGGCAGGCTTCAGGATTGGCAGGGGCCCTTCTGGCTCAGCCATCCCTATCACTCTTCTCCACTCTCCCAATCTACATCGGGCCTGGAACTTTCAGATGCTCCCTTACATCCCACCCTACCAACCTTTTACCCACTCCCTCCCACCCCAGCTCACACCCCCTCCCACCTCCATCTCCAGCAACCCCAGCTTCTTGTTTCCCAGGAAACCCTGTTTTGCCAACAGTGCCCAGAGCACAAACATGCAACCCAAGCAGCCCAAATGAGTCTCATCCCCTCTCTCCACCCACTGGAACACAGAGGACCTGGCTGGTATTTAATTAGTTTGCAATATTACATATCTGTTAAATCTTTTAATCCATTTAATAAAAAAAAGTTAAGACACATACACACAACTAACCCACTAACAATGGCCCCAATTTGTGTTTTGTCTGACTGGGAGTAATATTCATGTCTACATGAGGATGGCATGTAATTAACATGTCATAATCAAAATGACTAAGTTTGACACATTATAATCACTGCATGGAGATTATAGCATAGCCAGGGGCGATCCACACAGCCTATCTTAATATAATTTGCATAATGAAAGCATGGTGGCAGTAATAGCTTTTTTCTCTTGTTATCATAATTTCACCCAGGGCTGCAAGGGGCTCCCGCACTGTCAGATGTTGCCTGTTAAAAGTCATTGTGACTTGAAGAAGGCTGCAAAAATGGCCCAAAGTCTTGAAAAAATAGCTTGATGACTTGTCCCTTGTGAACAGAGTGGGGCAATACCAGGATGAGCCCCCCAAAAATTATTCTACAAACCCATACCCAGCAGGCATTGGGACAGGCACTGGGAACTTGATGTCCTCAGGCCCCTTGCTTGCTGAGGATGTGAAATTACCTTCTGATCAATGGCAAGTGCTGATATTCCTAGACCCCAGGCAAGCATGGCCAGACATGCATATCCCCCTAAGCAGACCCCTCACAGTTTGACAGTTGCCCAAATGGGGTTCTCATCCATCTAGGGCCATGATGCTGACCCTAGAGGTCAAAGGTACGGGTCTGAGAGCCATGCCGGCCAGTCAGTCAACCTCCATTTCATGGTCACAGACCACGTCCCTAACCTGAGTGAGTGCCTCATGGAATTAGGTGAGAAATTATGTGGGAGAACATCCACTCACACAGCATTCCCTCTTCCCCTAATTTGCCACAGGTCGCATTTAACCTGCCACTCTTTTAGCTCCCTGCGAAGCCTGCTCCTCTGTGCCAGCCAAGGGCAGTTGTTCTCTATCAATCGCCCACTCTGTCCTCTTGCTCCTTCCTCCTCACCTCCTGCTGCCCCAAGCCCACTGTCTGACTTACCCGAAACCTCAGCTAGAGACCCACTTTTATTTAACCTGCTGATACCTCCTCAGTACCACCAAAAGCACTTTTATAAGCATTACATTTTAATCTCAGAGAATCATATTAATTGGGACAGGAGGACTTTTTTGACTAGGGCCTGAACTTGGAAATAATATCCCCACACAAATTTAGAGCATAAAAATACTTATACTCACTTCTAACAAAGGAAAGGGGACACTAATAACTTTACAATGGAAAAACCTTCACCAAGTGAACAAAGTTAATATCACCAGTGGCAAGTCATGTTGATATCATGTACCCTTGACCTCATAAGATGAAAGAGTACTTCATTTCTGTGGCATTCTTCCTCTGAGTTCAAAACCCCAGTCTAATCATGAGAAAGTACCAGACAAATCCAAGCTGAGGAACATTCTTCAAAATACTTGACCAGAACTATTCAAAAGTGTCAAGATCATGGAGGAGAAAAATAAAAGACAGGAACTGTCACAGGTCAGAGAACACTATGGAGACAGGACAACTAAAGGCACGAATGGCATCCTGGTTGGATCTCAGGACTGAAAAAGATTATTTGTGGAAAAATTAGGGAAATCCAAATAAAGATCACAGTGTAGTTAATAGTATTGCATAAATGTTAATTTCTTCTCAGTTTTGATAAATGTTCTATAGTTACATAAGATGTTAACATTAGGTAAAACACTGGATAAAATTGGGTGAAGGTATACCTCCATACTATCTTTACAACATTTTAGTTTATTCGGGCTCTATGAAAATAAAAAGGTTTAAAACGACATTTTCAAAATGTCACAAAAAAATATTGAAACTGCGGAGATCTCACAAGCTTTTAGCAAACTGTCACAGAATCCAATCTGAATAGAAGTCTTTGTTCCCAACTACATTTCCCCATGGTTTAGCAAATTCTGCCCACCTGGCTGATGGCTCTTGTGACGCTAAGCTATAATTACATTTTGGTTTTCATATGAGAGGGTAGAAAGAAGAATCTGAATCTATGATCATAAACTACCCCAAAATGTAGAGCTAACTCATTCCGTGGAAGCCTGCCAACCACATAGCAAATGGGCTTGTTTTCCACCTCGTATGTGATATCATAAAGACACAGATGAAGGTGATTCAATGGTGGTTAAAACGCATAAGAAAAAAGAACTTCTAGTAAGATCCCAATAGAACTGGAAGAGACCTTTGACTTCTTGGGCCTGACCCTCTTTTTTTCTCTGAAGGGACTGAGGCTTAGAGAGCTCAGGGTCACACAGCAGATTGGCATAGAGTTGGAAGTGGGACCCAGCTCTTCAAATTCCCAGCCCAGGGATCAGAGTAAATTCACAGGAGCTCATGTGCAGAGTAGACTGTGAGGTGGTATCCTGGTCACCCATCTGTCCTGAGAGATAGAGAACTGTCAATGCATACTTCAAAGTCCTCCAGGACACATTGGCTAGTCTTGCTCTTCCTCATGGATGGTGTGAGCCTCCCTCTGCTTTCATGGCCACTTTCACCAGCTCCACTTTGCCTGGACCTGCAAGCTGCACTCCTGCACCCACCCAGAGATGCACTTTCTAGATACATTTTCTGGATGAGGCTGGATGCTATTCACAAGGCCCCAAAGCAAAGAGCTTTGTTGCCAAGTCAGGGCTGTTTTCCCCCTGCCAACACCCCTCCCTTATTTTGGGGGCTTGTCATTCACGGCTGCCTGTCAGTCATCCGGGTCCTGGTAAGGAAATGAGGCCAAGGAACTCAGGCACAGAGCCCCCCACTGCGAGGAAAATGTTGACTCACAGCCAATGCATTTTAACTCAGGGAAACTCCCAGGAAAATCAGAGGGCTGTGCCTAGGCTCCAGGGCTTTCTGTTCTTCTCCAGGCCTGGAATTAATGCCATCATTTTTTTCTGGGCCAGGAAACTGCAGGAAGGCTCTCCTCCACCATGGGCAGCCCTCCTGCCAACCAAAGGGGCCACTGCTCCACTGCGCAAGTTTCACAGCAGCTCCTTACTCAGAGACAGCCTTAGATGTGGCAATATTATCTGAAAAATAATGACTGGCCCCCTCCCCCTCAAAAACATCCCCTACTATGTCCCTTCCTGGTGCCTGGAATTTCTCCATTAGATTTGGATTCCTTTGAATTAAGGAGAGTTTTTGCTTTGTTTTTTAACCTTTGTCCTTGGCTGCAAGGAACAGAGTCCACTTAAAGTCCCCTAAGCAAACTGGGGGACACTACAGTAACCTCTGAAGGAGGAGGACAATAAGAGACGCCTGGCCATGTGAGGAGCACTGCTCCCCATGATAAGCTTTGCCAAACCCCTGGATTAGACCAGTTGCCTCCTTTATCTTTCCCAGCTTTGTATAACTTCCCTCAGCACAGCTAATACTTATACAGTGATTCTTAGAAATATTTGCTTCATTTCTCTCTTCCCATTAGAATGTAGGCTCTGAAAAGTCAGAGGCTGTTTTGATGTGCTGTCATGTCCTGGTACTAGCCTGGTTGCCAACACGGAGAGGAAGAGCAGTGAATATTACTGAAAAAAAAGAGAAGGGAAAAGGGAAAGAGGCCAGCCTGACTTTAACAGCAATAACAACCTCAGAGAGGAGGCAGAGGATGCAGCTAGGACCACCCAGCTCCTCCTAGGACATGAGAAGCTAGCCTGACACTGGACCACACAGCTCAGTGTGACCACCTGCCCCATTCTCTAAGAGCAGCTCTGACAGTTCACTCTGTTTCCAGCATTGTGAGATAAAAATCAACTCTCCTAAAAAGCAAACTGAATTTTTCCATATTGGAATTCTGTTTTCGACATTAATCATCATAAAGATCAAGGTCCCTACACAGAAATTCTTCCTACCATTAACGTTTGCCATCTGCAAAGGCAAACTAAATACAAGACAAGTACATGCAGCCATGCCTCAACCAGACAGAGCATGTGCACCCTGCAGTGCTATAGGATGCATTCAAATGAAATCAAAGTTTTGACAGTGTGGAGTCATGTATGGGATTTTATTTTTGTGTTGTATTTACCTCCCCACTCCCGAAGGCCTGTAGCCCCATCCATGAAAGCAAGAAACTGGGGCATCATTATGGGCTTCCGTTCAGCAGCAAGTTAACAGAATACCTGTTTAATGGGTCTTCTTGTATGTCTCACAATAAGTCAGAAGCAGGCCAGGTGCAGTGGCTCATGCCTGTAATCCCAGCACTTTGGGAGTGGGATGTGGGCAGATCACTTGAGGTCAGCAGTTTGAGACCAGCCTGGCCAACATGGTAAAATCCCATCTCTACTAAAAATACAAAAAAAAAAAAAATCAGCCAGTCCTGGTGGCACATGCCTGTAATCTCAGCTACTCAGGAGGCTGAGGCACGAGAATCACTTGAACCCGGGAGGCGGAGATTGCAGTGAGCCGAGGTCGTGCCACTGCACTCCAAACTGGGTGACAGACTGAGACTCTGTCTCAAAAATAAAAATAAAAAATAAAGTAATCAGAAGCAATTGCCTACCTAGCATATATGACAACTGCAAGAAATCATTGGTTAAAAACTCTTTACAATATTATTTTTAGCAATAAGTTTCAAATTTGCCTCAATTGTCTTACGCAGGGACCTTGGCATGTGAGAGTCAGGGTGCCTGGCACCCTCTATTTCATCCCTAGCCCTGACCCAAGGGTAAGTTCTGCCTTCAGACACACCAGTGGCAGCCAATATTGGATCCCATTTCTGCCACAATTCCAGTTGTTGGTGTGTGTATCACCCGTTCACACTGTTGCTTTGTCATTTAAGTTGACTAAGGGGAGAGGAGCAGAGTGCGTGTGTATGTGAGTGCACACACACCCACACACTCACACACCATTGATGCTGATTAAAGGTTTATGAGAAGCAAGAAAATCTGATAGGATTTGGGCAGAATCCGACCAGTTTTAAGTTTTCCATCCTTAAGCCGTTAAGTCCTCACAAGCCGTTATTTTTGTCCTTGATGTTGAAGGGAGACTAAGTTGGGGAATGTAAATGGCAAGGCCCAGAGTTGCTGAGACGATTATCAGATTTGTGTAAGATTTACTCTGCTCTTTAAAAAAGATCATGCACTCATCCTCAACTCTCTCTCTCTCTCTCTCTGTCTCTCTCTCTCTCTGGTTTTCTGCAACCCCAGCCTGCAGACAGATCATCAGAAAATTCAACTTTCAAGTGAGGATCATAAGCCAGAGAGTGCAGGACTCCACACCAGGGCAGATGACCTGTGGATTCCAGAAGCTCTCAGGAATTTTGCAGATTTCTCAAGGGCAACCCTGTCCATAGAACGGGGAAAAGAACAAGCCCATGCCTCCAAAGAGAAACTTCACAGTTCGCCTAAGTTTAACCTCTAGTGATTCATTCTCTTGTGTGTGGGGGCCTTCTGATCTCTGGGAGCTCCCTCAAAGGCAAACTCCCATGCAGAGGGCATTTCTGAGGACTGAAATCCAGGTGATAATAGTAACTACTGCTTTTTTAGCATTTAGTGCTAACTTTGGCATTTGGGCAACCATCAAACACTCTCTTCCATCATCTCGCCCCTCCACCCACAGCCCTGTGTTATCAATCCCCTTTCCCAGCCAACCTGGGGACAAGTTGACTTGTCATCACCATCTGTACCTCCCCACTTTACACTCTCTCCACAGTCCACTCCACTAGGGCATTGGCTGCACATGTCACCAAAACCACTCTTGTCAGTGTCACCAAAAACTCCCATGTTGCAAGATACAAAGGCCATTTTTCGGTCTCTTGTACTGAGCCTCTCCTAGAAGCATAAGGTCCCTGGGCTTCCTTGGCACCTCCTCCGCCAGCATCTTCTCCTCTTTTTGGCTGCTCCTGCCATAGTTCACCCACTGCCCTCTCCTTCTACCACTCTGTCGAGTACTGGTGCACCCCAGGGCTCAGTCCTAAGCCCCATTCTTCCCTCTATCCATGTGTGCTCCTGCAGTCCCATGGTTTACACACCATGCATTTACCAATGCCTTTATATAGTTCTCCCACCCAAACCTCTCCCTGAGCTCCAGCCAGAATCACATATACAACTGCCTACCTGACCTCCCCACTCAGATATATTACAGATCACTCGGCTAGTAGCTGGCTAAGGCAGGACATAAACTCAACTTCAGGTAGATCTGATCTCAAGGCCTGCATTCTTAATGACTCCTGGACTAGAATCCAAGGAGACAGCTATAAACTCTCTGAGAGAAGAGGCATCTCCACTCCAAAGATCTACCCAATGGCCTAGGACAGACTTATTCCATCACTTCTCATGCTGTGAGAAATCTGTCATTGTGGGATTTCCCCACTTAAGTATAACTAGGTGGTTACCTTTCCTGCAATTTTCAAACAGGGCAGATATGTTAGGGGTAACATGGACCCACAAACACCTGGTATGTCTGTGTCTTCCCAGAGTGTAAACTCTGCTCAAACATGGACACAGAAAGGCAGACAGCAGGAGAAATCATTTTCCTACAAAGAGAAAACAGATGTGTCTTGGAAGAGAAAATGAGATACAACTTTTTGTAATTTAAAAAACAAGACTTCAAACTTCAGGTGGACACCTTAGCCTTCTGCCACAGATTCAAAGGATATAAAGTAGAACTACAAAGAGCTTAAGTCCTGACTCCTAGAAGCTTGTTTCTAATATCTGCCTCCATTAGCCTTCGTCTTAAACCAGGAAGGTGGTATGAACACTCAACAAACCGTCAGTGTACTTTGGAAGAGGTGGGATAAAAGTGGACATTTTTGCCTTGCCTCTGATGTCTTTAGCGAAGCCAAATAAATCTGGAAAGAAAAATTAAATATTTCCCTGAAACCTCACAGGAGAAAAAAAGAGAAAGGCTTTCAGAAGTCCCCAGAGAAACAAGAAATGACTATTTCCAAAACAAAGTTTGATTTGAAATTATAAGAAGCTAGAGGTAGTTTTGAAAACCAGTGAACACTCATGAACTTAATCAGGCTTAGCAAAGCAGAGACAGAAATGCAGATTGGAAGTTGCCCCTGGATAGCTTGGCCAGCAGAATAAAACCCAGAGGCAGAATCAATTTTTTTTCTTTCAGATTAAAGCCGCAGCATCTCTCAGTTGAAGGCAGAGGTATAAAGTCAAAGACTCCAGAAGTTCTTGGAAAATGATAAGTCAATCTCTTGACAAATGATCCAGGGGCAACTTCGAATTCCTGTTTCTATCTCTACCTCTCTGATTACTTTAACAAGCACTTTCTGATTGGACCTTGGTAATTCCAGCAAGCCAAGACTTTCCATGGGTAAGCATAATTTATAATAGCCTTAGACACCACTCCTCCATCACAGTCACCTTTGTCATCATGAGTTTCCAAAGCAACAGGAGGTGAGTACACTTAGCCCTCCTGGAGTCTATATGTAGCCTGTAGTTTAACTATAACATTAGTTGATTTGCATCCTACATGGTTATGCTATGGTAGGGGCAGGATTCTGGAGTTGGTCCTCCTGGGTTTGAGTCTTAGCTCTACCACTTACTAGCTGTGTATCTTGAGCAAGTTATTTCATCTCTTTGAGCCCCAGTTTTTTCATCTAAGAATGATGATAATAGTAATATCTATCTGATAAGGTTGGTGAGAGGATGAACTGAGATACAGCATGAAAGTATTTGGTGCTGTGTCTACAGCACAGCAAGTAATTCAATAAGCAGAAGCTATTGTTGTTACTAGAGATTTCTTAGTCAGAGGTGTCTGACCTTGTCATAGCCATTTTCTAATCCATGGTGTTGAGTTCATGCCTCATATGTACAAAGTGTTGTTCAGGAACTCCGATAATGTCTGTGATCTGTACATTTCACAGGACTTCACCTTACCCTCTTAGATTACTGGCAACCTCGCATCCCCTGAATTCCTGTTCAGGGAGAAGAGCAAGTCCTTCCTTCAGGGACTGGAGAATGACAACCTTCACAGAACCCAGAGCTAGAGACTGAGGACTCAGAATGTAGACTGGGAATAAGAGAACTACAGCCAGGGGCCAAATCCCTCCAGCCACAACAACAACAAAAAAAAAAAAAAAAAAAAAAAAAGGCTTGATTGGGGTACATTTGACATACAAAAAAATTGCACACATTTAATGTATACAATGTGATGAGTTGGGTACATGCATACAGCCGTGAAACTATCACCACAATCAATGTAATAAACATATCCAGCACCTCCAAAAGTTTCCTTGTGCCCCTTTATTGTTGTTTTTGTTTTTGTGGTAAGAGCATTTATCAAGAGATTACCCTCTTAATCTTTTAAGTGCACAATAGTCTGGTTACCTAGAGGCACATTGCTCTACAGCAGATCCCTAGAACTTACTCATCTTGCATAACTGAGACTTTATACCCATTGAACAGCAGCTGTTTGCTTCTCTTTCCCCATTCTGTGGTAACCACCATTCTACTCTCTGCTTCTATGAATTTGGCTATTTTAGATACCTAACATAAGTAGGATTATGCAGTACTTGTTTTTCTAGTCTGCTTATTTCACTTAGCATAATGTCCTCCAGAGTCCCCCCATGTTGTCACATATGTCATGATTTTCTTCTTCTTTTTTTTTTGTTGGGGGGGTGGTGCTCACTGCAACCTCCGCCTCCCGGGTTCAAGCGATTCTCCTGCCTCAGCCTCCTGAGTAGCTGGGATTATAGGCACCCACCACCATGCCCAGCTAATTTTTATATTTTTGGTAGAGATGGGTTTCACCATGTTGGCCAGGATGGTCTCGAACTCCCAACCTCATGTCATCCACCCGCCTTGGCCTCCCAAAGTGCTGGGATTACAGGTGTGAGCCACTGCTCCCGGCCTTCTTTTTTAAGACTAGATAATATTGCATTGAAAGTATATTTGTATATTTTATTTACTCATTCAGCCATTCATGGACATTTAGGTTTTTGTCATATCTTGGCTACTATGAATAATGTCCAGCACTTATTTTTGTAAATAAAGTTTTAATGGAACATAGCCACACCCATTCCTTTACAAATAGTCATCTACAGCTGCTTTCAGGCTACAATAGCAGAATTGAATAGCTGCTTTAGAGACTCTCACAAGCAAAGTCTAAAATGTTTCCTATCTGGATGCTTGTGATAAATGCAGATTCCTGGGTCTCATCCCAGACTTTCAGAATCTGAATGCCTGAGATATGGCCCAGGAGAGTGCATTAAAACAAAAACAATAACAATACTCCTCCAGGTGCATCTTAAGCCTATCAGAGATTTAATGTGAGACATAGAATGTGAGAATCTTTGTTCTTGATTCCTGAGGTTATATTTTATT
The DNA here is from genome assembly GCF_000001405.40 of Homo sapiens. Lineage (NCBI taxonomy): Eukaryota > Metazoa > Chordata > Mammalia > Primates > Hominidae > Homo > Homo sapiens. The sequence goes on from NC_000018.10 coordinate 47,696,081, forward strand.
CAAACATAAACCCCGCTACACAACGTCCAGCATGCAGTGGGTGTTCAAAAGACACCTGCTTGTTACATTTTGAAAAAGCTGTTATTGTCAATGTCCCAGAGCCCACCGAGATTCAAACTACCCAATCCTAACCGGGCACACCCTGTCTCACCTGTTTGTTCCTGCAGAAACTGCAACAAAGGCTCTTGCACACAGTCCCCCCAACTCCCTCTTTCCCTCTGCCTCCTGACCAACCCTGGGGCCTCTGTGGCATGCCATGCCCCCTCTCCTCTTGGGAATATTGGGTAACAAATTGTCTTCTCAATGACAATCACCTCCTGATCTGTTGGCCTTACTACACCTCAAATTTTCTCTTACTACACTGTATTTTAAACCACCACCACCCCTCCCTGTCTGACAGATGCCTCAGTACCTTCTCCCCACGCGTATGTTCTGCCTCTCTCTCTGCTGTTCCCCAGGACACAAACATGCTCAGGTTGCTCCCCTGCATTTAGAACATTTTAACCTCTGCTCACTCCTATCTCCCCTGCCCTTTCCAATCAAGTTTCCCAAAGGCTTGTGTGTACTGTCTGCCTCCTCCTCCATTCAGTCATCCAGCCCCTCCAACCTCTGCTCCACTAGAACTGTCCTGGCAAAAGGCACTGATTCTTTATGGCTAAACCATATGGCACATCTCCAGCTCACTGGACCAGGCCACTGCATATGACACCACTGTCCACCCACTCCTCTTCACTGTCTCCTCTGTGCCCTGCCCACCCTCTCCTTGGCACCCTGCCCACCCTCTCCTTAGCACCCCACCCACCCCCTCCTCTTTGCCCTGTCTGCCCTCTCCTCTGTGCCCTGCCCACCCTCTCCTCGGCACCCTGCCCACCCCTCCTCTGCGTCCTGCCCGCCCTCTCCTCTGCGTCCTGTCTGCCCTTTCCTCTACGCTCTCTCTGCCCTGTCCTATGTGCCCTGCCCGCCCTCTCCTCTGCGCCCTGCCTGCCCTCTCCTCTGCATTCTGTGTGCCCTCTCTTCTGCACCCTCTCCGCCCTCTCCTCTGCGCCCTGCCCACCCTCTTCTCTGTGCCCTGTCTGCCCTCTCCTCTGCTCCCTGCCCACCCTTCCTCTTGACCCTCACCTCTGTGTCCTGTCTGCCCTCTCCTCTGCAAGGTTCCTGTTGCTCTCCTAGTGCCTACCTCCCCAACCACTGCTCACACCCTCCTGCCATCTGCAGAGGCTCCAATTGCTGCTCTTCCCCAGATGTGCTGCTGTTCCCCAGGCCTCTTTCTTCAGCCTTCCTCCTTTCAAATGACCATACACCATTTGGAGAATTGGATGAAAGCTGAGGACCCTCTCCCCAGAAAAATACACTAACCATACTCAAATTTCTGCATAAATATCAAGGGATTCAACAACCTCCTAAGGCCCATGCTTTCACCTTTGGGGAACCAAGAACATCTGGTTTATGTGTGTGCACACTCAAATTCCTCTGGTCACTCCAGATCTGATGTCCCCTCCTGATTTCTAGATCCTACAGTTTACCGGGAGGCTTCTCCTAGTTACCCCATGGACATCTAAGTTCAGAATGTCCAAGGCTAAAGCCATTAGCCCCCACAGAACCCACTCCTCTTCTGGAATTCCCCCTCATGATGCTATCATTATCTGCTAAGCATTCAAGGCAAACACCTGGCAGTCTTTCACAATCCTCCCTCCTCCTCAGCCCTCACGTTCCCTCAGTCCCTAGGTCCTATCAACAATTCAAAACAATTTAATTGTTGAGGTCCTCCTCAACAATTCTCAGGCTGCCCCCATTCCTATCCCCTCTCCATTGCCCAGGTCCTTACCCTTGTCATTGCTCACCTGGATTCATGCCTCTAGCCACCCACGCTGCGAAAAGAGCAGTCATTCCAACATGCAGATCTGCTCAAAATCTCTCAACATCCCTCCCCACCTTACCCCCTGGTCTACAGCAATATTTTTCAAACCGTGGTCCACCTACAGATTCTCCAAAATTTGAGTCTTCTCAATGGGACGCTTAAATTTCTACTTACATATTTTAGATCATTTGGATGGCTAAAAGGCTTCTAACTCCACACCTACATTTGCTTTTGTATTGACCATCACATTGGAACAAAGATGACCCACTTTACTTGTAGCAACTAATGAGAAATAGAGGCGAAGTAAAATGTCAAGTCTTCATTCCCAGCCAAATGAAGACCCACATTAGGAAAGAAGCTTTTGCAAAAGTTAAAATGAAGAACAGTGATGGGCACCCTACCTAGCAGAGGTAATTGCAGCATTTGAAATAAATTGTGCTGGTGGTCAACGCCTTATTCACACCAAAGCAGTAGCTCAGTTTCAACAAACCAACATCATCCATTTAAGTTGTTAATTTGAATGTTGTTAGTTTTGCATTTTGTTTGTTTTTATTTGTAAATGTGTTAAGTTTATACATACGCATAACTGACATTTGTTTGTCAATATATACAATAAATATGGAAAAATAATAAAAGAAACATGGGGGAGTGGGGTCATTGGGAATTATTTTTTCCTTTAAAAGAGCTTACACATTGTTTAAGGTTGAGAATGTCTGGCCTATGGCCTATAAGATAATATTTCTATACCATAACATGAGCACAGGCTACCACCACCTGGCCCTTGCCTACCTCGCTATCTACACTCATCACTCAGTTCCCGCTACCACCTGGGCTAACTCAATGCACCTGTACAATTGCAGCTTCCCAAACACACAGCACCTCTCACTCAAAGTCAGGAATAAGGTGAGGCAAGTGAGGTAATCAGCAAAATTTTAGGGGACACCAAAAAGCTCAGTAATCAATATAGATAATATTTTAATGCAATATTTTAAAAAATCAAAATTAATCAAAATACAATGCATGATGAACAAAGTATCAGAATAGTAAAGACAGGGCCAGCACTTCTCTGAGTTTTGTGTGGAATCTTGCCACTCCTATGACACTCTCTCTCCCTACCTTCTCTGCCTGGCAAAGCACCCCTGACCGGATACATCTCACCTACTTGCCGAGTGGCATTGCAAATGGCACTTTACTTCTTTGATCTTTATATTCCCCATCTGCAGATGAGGATAATAATCTCACATGTGGTTTTGAGGATTAAAAGAGATAAGAATGACTATCGAATGTGAACACAGCGCCTGTCCCACGCCATTGCCATTGTTGGCAGTATTGTTATTGTCACAGTTATCTCCAGCATTGCCTCCCCTCTGAAGCATCACCTCCCCTCTGAAGTCTCTCCTAACATCCTTGACATCCCCAGGAAATTTTAAGAGAGCTTTTTCCCTTGCTTTCCTTATATATTGTACACATCTCAATTACAGCAAAAGATATATTTGTTGGGAAGCTGAGGCAGGAGAATTGCGTGAACCCGGGAGGCAGAGGTTGCAGTGAGCCGAGATAGCGGCATTGCACTCCAGCCCAGGCAACAGTGCATGACTCCGTCTCAAAAAAAAAAAAAAGATATAGTTGTCATATCATATATTATGATTGTTTCTATACCTTTTTTTCCCACTGACTATAAGCTGATTGAAGTCCAAGACTATTTTTTTTAATCTTTGTTGGCTTCTGACACAGTAGCTGTTGAGTTAAATATTTATTGAACAAATGAGTGCATAAAATGAGATTTAGTCCAAGAACAAATTAATCCACCAAATGGCATCTCATGCAAGTACAAACCAATATCCATTCATAGATCTGACAAATATTTATGAAGCAGCAACAACATTCCATGCATCCTTCTAGGTGCTGGGGCTACAACAGTGAATAAAATAAACCCAGCCCTATCTCTGTGGCATCAACAGTCTCCCGGAGGAGATGGACAATTAAAAGCAATTACAATAAAGTGGTGAAGTGCGTTCAGGGAACTGGAAGAAGTTCCATTTAGTTGGAACATCAAGTGTGTGAGGCAGATAGCGAGGAGAGATGAGGCTGAAGGGAAATAAAGTCAGGCACCAGAGGGTCTTGCAAACCTTGATAAGGAATTTGGACTCTATCTCAAAAGCAATGGAGGAACACTGAATGTATATCAAAAGCAAATGGAGGAAATCCCAAACTTGTTAGCTTAGCAAAGAGATAATTATTGGTACCTGGAATTGAAAACTGCAGTGGTCAGGCTGGCTTTAGGTAGCGACAGAATTAGGGCCTCAGACCAAGCCGTCAGGATCCGGCCTTGCCATTTCTAAACTCAGCTCTGCTCTCCTCCAGGAGCCGATTTTTTCCTTCAGCACCACGTGGAGGCCACAGCTGCTCCAGCCTCACGTCCTCTGAGGTTCAAGAATAGTAAATCGGGCCAGGTGCAGTGCCTTATGCCTATAATCCCACACTTTGGGAGGCCGAGGCCTGGCCAACATGGTGAAACCCTGTCTCTACTGAAAAAAAAAAACAAAAATTAGCCAGGCATGATGGCATGTGCCTATAATCCCAGCTACCTGGGAGGCTGAGGCAGGAGAATCACTTGAACCCAGGAGGCAAAGGTTGCAGTGAGCCGATATTGCACCATTGCACTCCAGCCTGGGCAACAGAGCAAGACTCCAAAAAAAAAAAAAACAGCAAATCCTTTCTCAGGTGATTCAAGCTAAAGCCTTGGGCTGGACTGGGCTTGAATTACCCATCCCTGGACAACCACTGTGGCCAGGTGAGTGAAATGAGGTGATTTGTTTAAGCTGAGGTGACGCAGAGTGGCAAAAACAAAAACAAAATAGAAATCCATTACAGAAAGATTTTCAGCAAGGAGTGACTTCATTATTAGAATTCTAAATTGAAAACAAACCATCAAACAACCCCACACTGCGGGGGCAATGCAGGGAAGCGGCATGGGGGAGGGGATACTGCAAGCGGGAAGGGCAGAAAGAGCCCACCCAATGGACCAAATGAGGAACACTGGCTGCCGGAAGCAGATTTGGGAGAAAGGTAAGACTCTTTACTCCTTCTTAAATCCTACTGGGAGATGTGTGTGTGTGCATGCGCGCGAGCATGCGTGTGCACAGGTGCTGTGTTTGGAAAGAACTGGGGTGTTCAAAACCATACCCCAAACAAGAGTGCACAGTTTCAGTCCTCACTCAAAGGGCTTCCCTACCTTTGGAATGCTCAAGCACTTACCACACCAGTTTTCAAAGCAGATGGGTATTTACTGCACACAAATGTCACATTGACTTTGGAATGTTTTCACATGTGCTCTTGTGGATTAATGAGCTCCTAATATTGTGATAATAATCATTTTCCATAAATATGCATAGTCAGCTTTTAAAAGTGTCACGTGCAGTAATTATTAGCTGTCTGGGTGCTAATCGCTTTGGGAAAATATTTACTTGCGTATGAAATGGAACCTATGTTTGTTTTGCTAAATGCACTGCGTCGCAGAGAGCCCAGAGCAATTACCAGCCTGATTTAAAGGGACTCGGATGCCAGGGAATCAGGATTGAGGGATCCTCACTCACAAGGGCTTGTGAAATGGTTGGTTGGATTTAGTTCAGTAAAATTATCGTGAGAAGCTACTATGTGTAAGGTATGTTAGAAAGAGCATTATCTTTGGGAGGCCAAGGTCAGTGGATTGCTTGAGGCCAGGAATTCCAGACCAGCCTGGCCAACATGGTGAAACCTCACCTCTACTAATAATACAAAAATTTACCAGGTGTGGTGGCGCACACCTGTAATCCCAGCTACTCAGGAGGCTGAGGCAGGAGAACTGCTGAACCCAGGAGGCAGAGGTTGCAGTGAGCCAAATGGCACCATTGCACTCCAGCCTGGGAGACAGAGTGAGACTCTGCCTCAAAAAAAAAAAAAAAAGAAAAGAGAAAGAAAAAAGAAGGGAAGGGAAGGGAAGGAACAGGGAGGGAAGGGGAGGCAAGGCAAAGCAAAGTGAAGCACAGTGAGGCAAGGCGAGGCAAGGCGTGGCAAGGCGAGGCAAGACGAGGTAAGATGAGGTAAGATGAGGAAGATGAGGCAAGGCAAGGTGAGGGAAGGCAAGGGAAGGCAAGGCACTATCTTTGAAGCTAGAATGAACTTAAATCCTGAGCCCTTTGTGACTTTGGATGACTTATTTAACTCTGAACCTCAGTGTGATCATCTGGAAAATGGGAAAATATCCACTTCCTTGTCAGGAAGTTTAAATAACATACATAGAGTACCCAGCACAAAGTCTGGCATAGTGAGGGCTTCAGAACAGGCTCTTTCCTCCTCTCATACACACACTGTAGGGAATACATGGATAAAGAACACAGGGCTCCCATCCTCCTGGACCCTTCCAAGCCAAGTACCCAGAGGACTGAATTCAAGAAGAGTTTGATGAAAGATGTACTACTAATTGGTCAGGGGTGCAGAGGTAGGAAAGGTACCATCTAATTAGGGGGAAATCAAGAGTAGACTCAAATATGCAAGAGAACAGGCTTTGCCCACTGGCAGGGGATACAGCATGCATGGTTTGGGAAGCCACCTACATCCATATTCTCTCCCTCACTGGGGCCTGAAATTTTCACCTTCCTCAACTCATTTCTGTGAAACATTACACTTTCCTTGCATATCCCCTGGGGGAGCAGGGAAGGTAGGACAATAGCCCTTAATACTTCAGGGTGAATAAATGTATCCCAGTTATAGGGCAACAGGATGAAAGAGGCTGAGATTGGGAAAGGGGGGCTTCTGAAATGCACTAAAATGGGAGATGATGGAAAGAAAAATCATCTCTTTATGGGAGGCTGTCCCCATTTCTGCTTTCCCTGCTCTCTTGGGCTGTAGTGGGAAGTCTGTCTTAGACTTCTGCAAACCCATGGCCTTCTTCCTGCCTTGCTAACCTTGGGGTTTCACAAATAGGCTGAAATAACACAGGTCTACATTCATCCATTGGAAGTCTGGGTAGGATGGTGATAAGATACCTTATGTTCAACTGTGCTAAGGAAATGATATAAGCAAGATTGTATGGGGCAGTTTAAGTGAGCTAAGAGAATGAAATGCCTTAAAGCACACCGAAAGCTTTTATATACCTGCAGAAATGCATGGGTAGTTATTCCACATTATTCTGGTTTTTACAGGTTTGCCTCATGGCAGGTCCCCCAAAGAATCAGAACCCTTTATGGATTTGCTTGGGCTTGCTGGGTACTGATGTGACTAAGAAAGGGACATGATGTAAGGGAAAGGACCTCAAATTCTTGTGAATGTGCACATTCTGGTAAATATTCCTTTGGGCTAATAGTGACACAGGTGTGTGCACAGGTGCACCAGGGATCATAGGGGATTTCCTAGCATTAGTATGCTTCTAGTTTTAGATAACTCCCTCCTTTATTCCCTGAGCCCTTGTATTTTCCTCATCTTCCTCTTTCAAGGCCTCTGTCCTCCCCATTTTGTTTATCCATGGGCTGGGGCTTGTGTCTTTGCTATTGTCTTGTTCCTAGAGTCCCAGGCTTTGGGAGGCCAGCTCCAGGTAGTGTCCTCCCTGCCTCTCCATCTTGTAATGAGATGCAGTATTTACTTGTAACATAGGATCATTTGGAACAGGAGTTCTGAGGAGGACAGAATGAGGGCTTTGCTGTTGACTGACTTGAATCACGGTTTCTCCTCAAGCTGTAGGCTCCAGAGCTTCCTAACATAGTAAAATGTCAAGAGCAGACAGGGGAGCTATTAGTGTCTTTCTACCTCTCATTAAAGGTGTTTTAACCTAGATAGATAGATAGATAGATAGATAGATAGATAGATAGATAGATAGACAGACAGACAGATAGATGGATAGATAGATTTAGGTGAACTAAGGCACAGATGAAAATAGTCCTACTACATTTCCTTCAAACTTGTTTTCTGATTCAAAGTTTTTCTTATCCAGATCATTTCCTCCACTTGCAATGTAGCCCTGCCTCAGGAGACCAGGATTCCAGATGGGAAGCAGAGGTGTGACCTCAGCAGTTCACCCACTTGGGCCTCTGTTTTCTCACCTGTAAAGCAAGAGGTTTGGTAATTACTAAGCTCTTTTGCTTTCAGGAAACACATCTACTCTGTTAATTCACATAAGAAAATATTTTGCTTCTGATTTAAGATGGCATTCTGAGCACATATATTTATTTCCCTGCCGACCTGAAATCTCACTGAAATTAAAGTATAGAAGAATAAAAAGAAGCAAACCTATAACAATGAAGAAATAAGATGAGTGGAGGCAGGGGTGACAAGTGAGAAAGTTCAATAGGTTTTTAGAAGACATAAAGTGGATGCGGCATGTTGACTTACAGGTCATAATAGTATAAAGAGACTGTAGGAGCAAATTCTAGCTGGCCTAGGAAGACTGACAGTGACAGCAGGAATGAGACTTCGGGTTGAAAACTGGGAGACTGATTGAAAGTCTATACCTAGAAAATAAATACCAAGGAGTACCACTTGGCACCCCTTCTCTCTATATTCCCCACCACCTCCATCTTGCCTCCTGAATGGGTGGCCCAGTAAGAACCCTTATGCCAACAAAAAGTAGCTGCTCCTTTCTACAAGCATTGAATGAACTGACTGGAGACTACCAAGGTTTCAGGCATGCTTGTAAGGACCACAAGGTAAAACTGTTCTGCCACTGTGTGTGTGTGTGTGCACGCACATGCACATATCTGAGATGGGTGGCCTGATTGATGTGTTGCATCTCATGCATTTTAAATTAAAGTGTGTCAGCTGAGTGGACATACCAAGGAGCTCCAAGGCACATGTCCCACTCAAGGGAGAGACGTTGGGAGTGAGAATAAGAGACCTATGCCCAGTAAAGGAATCCCATACCAATCTTCCCTCTATAATATGAATGGATGGCCCAGAAGCACCAGGCCAACAAGAAGGATCACCAGTATGGATAAGGAAAAGAAAGCAAAAACACTGGTTCCCTGAGAAAATCAAGATGATTCAGAAAGCTTTTAACTTTTTCAATTTAAAAAAGGATCGGGGAATTTGAGAGAACACTGTATTTATTTAACAGGAACAGAGTGCTATAAAAAAGGAAGAACTTTTTAAAAAAATAAAGAAAGAAAAGATGTCTTACAAAGATAAATAATGTCATTTGTGTTTTTTTAAAAAGTAGAAAGCCAGCCACAAAATAAATCGCATTAAAGAAATTTCTCAGAATGTAGATTCTCCCCCTCCTCAAAAGAAACACAGAGATAGAAAATATTAACAAAATAATAAGAGACTTAGAGGACTAATCCAGGAGGTCCAATATTTGCCTAATAAGTATCTCAGAAAAACACAACACAGAATGTGGAGGAGAGAAAATTATCAGAGAAATAATCCAAGACTATTTTCCAGAACTGAAACAGAACACCCTTGTTCAGAATACTGAATGAAAAGAGACACCTACTTATATATGTGGAATTTCAGAACACCCAGGACAAGAAAACATTCTGAGAGCTTACAGAAAAGAGAAAACAAAAGCAGTAGACTCAAATGCCACTGTATGTGGAGAGATATTAGAGCAAGGTGGACAATGTTCAGAAGGTAAATAATTTCAAATCTAGAGTTTTATACTCAAACATCTATCAATTCATAGTGAGGGCAGAATAAAGACATTTCCAGACAAGAAAGGACTCAGAAAACCTACTGTGTTAGGCCGTTCTTACATTATGACAAAGAAACACCTGGGACTAGATAATTTATAAAGAAAAGAGGTTTCATTGGCTTGCAGTTCTGCAGGCTGTACAAAAAGTATAACGTGGGCATCTGCCCTCAGGAAGCTTCTAATCATGGTGGAAGGCAAGGGGGAAGCAGGCACATCACATGGCAGGAGAGAGAGAGACAGAGAGATGCCATACACTTTTAAATGACCAAATCTCACAAGAATTCACTTCATGTCCTTTGTAGGGACATGGATGAAATTGGAAATCATCATTCTCAGTAAACTATCGCAAGAACAAAAAACCAAACACTGCATATTCTCACTCATGGGTGGGAATTGAACAATGAGATCACATGGACACAGGAAGGGGAATATCACACTCTGGGGACTGTTGTGGGGTGGGGGGGGGAGGGATAGCACTGGGAGATATACCTAATGCTAGATGACGAGTTAGTGGGTGCAGCACCCCAGCATGGCACATGTATACATATGTAACTAACCTGCACAATGTGCACATATACCCTAAAACTTAAAGTATAATAAAAAAAAAAAAAAAAAAAAAAAAAAAAAAAAAAAAACAGCACCAAGCCATAAGGGATTCACGCCCATGACCCAAACACCTCCCACCAGGCCCTGCCTCCAGCACTGGGGATTACAATTCAACATGAGATTTGAGCAGGGACACATATCACAACTATATCACCTGCCCCCCAAATATCCTTCCTAAAGAGGTTCCTTAAAAATGAAAAGTTGTAGCTTGAGGTTGTATTCAAACACAACAGTGAAATAAACCTAGAGAGGAAAAAGTGTGGTGTCCAGGGAACAGGGATTGGAACCCTCCAGCTCTAGATGGCTGAATAGCAACTGAGAGGACCAGTTTTCAGGTCAGAGTAGCTCCTGGGAGGGAAACCTGGGGGTAAAGTGGAGAAATAGGTTGCCATAGATTGTGTAATTAAGAATAGTTTTAGTGGTCAAGAATATGAGAAAGCCATGTTTTATCATAAAAATGAAAGACAGTAATTAGAAACTTCAGGGAAAACTGTACCAGACAGTAAGGCTGCAAATAAGAAGTGATATAACATGTAGCACAATTTTAATGCACTGATGGAGAATCCATGTGATCTCAACACCAGCCAAGAGAAACATAATCCTGGGCCCTCTTTGACCCAGCAGAGTATATGGTCATAATGATGTATGAGAAGATGGAGAAGATGGCCATGTGATGAAAAAAGCAGAGATCAGAGTGATGTATCTATTAACTAGAGAATGACAAGGATTGCCAGCAAACACCAGAATCCAGAAAAGACTTGAAAGAATTCTCTCATACAGGTTTCAGCAAGAGCATGACCTTACCAACACCTTGATTTCAGACTAATGGCCTCCAGAACTTGAGACAATACATTTGTGTTGTTTTACATTACCCAGTTCATGACACTTTCTCACAGCAGCCCCAAGGCATGGACCCAGGCGCATTCTCACCTACACAGAACTGAGGGTAAGCTGGCAGGAATAAAGGCCAGGAAAGGCTGGGTGTGGCAGCTCATGCCTGTAATCCCAAGACTTTGGGAGGCCGAGACAGGCGGATTGCTTGAGCTCAGGAGTTCAAGACCAGCCTGGGCAATGTGGTGAAATGCCATCTCTACAAAAAATACAAAACTTAGCTGGGTATGGTGGTATGCTCCTGTCCCAACTACTCAGGAAGCTAAGGAGAAAGAATCACTTGGGCCTGGGAAGTTGAGGCTGCAGTGAGCCATGATCACACCAGTGCACTCCAGCCTGGGTGTCAGAGTGAGACCCTGTCTCAAAACAAAACAAAACAAAAAACACAAAAGCCAGGAAAGCCCCTGGCCTGGATGTAACAGGAGGTGATGTTGGTTAGAGTCTTGGAAAGGAGACATTCAATAAGGAAGTGTGATGGTTAATTTTATGTGTCAACTTGGGTGGGCTAAGGGATGCCCAGAGGCTGGTAATACTGGGTGTGTTTCTGGGTGTGTCTGTGAGGGTGTTACCAGAAGAGAGCAGCATTTGAATCAGTGGACTGAGTAAAGAAGATCTGCCCTCACCAGCGTGGGTGGTCATCATCCAATCCACTGAGGGCTTGAATGGAACAAAAAGGCAGAGGAAAGAAGAATTTGCCCTCTCTGTTTGAGCTGGATTGTCCATCTTCTCTTGTCCTTGGACATTGGCACTCCTGGCTCTTGGGCCTTCAGACACAGATGGGACCTTACACCACTGGCTCTTCCAGCTCTCAGGCCTTCGGATTTGGACTGGAACTACATGAGCTGCTTTTCTGGGCCTCCAACTTACATACAGTACATTGTGGGACTTCTTAGCCTCCATAATCACATGGACCAATTCCTTATAATAAATTCCTCCCTACATATGTATCTATATCCTATTCATTGTGTTTCTCTGGATAACCCTGCCTAACACAGAGGGATCTAAACTTGATTTCACCTGCAGTGTGAAGCCACTGGGAGGCTCTTCCCCGCGTGGACCTGGTATCTGCCATAGCTCACTCCCTTTCTCCCTGTTTACATGTGACCAGGTCTTTAAGCCTTGACATTAAAGACTTAAAGAGACAAGAGTTGACTCCTTCTCTGGCATTCAACAGCCAGCATTGCAAACTTCTAGAAAATAGAGGAGCCCTAGGGAAATCTAATAACAGCCCTACTTAAGAGCACTCGACAATTATTACCTCCAACTGTGAGAGAGGCTGAGTAATTAAAAAGGGTTCTTTATTTTGATTAAAAAGATTCCTTTTAGTGTTTCTGAATCTTTAGTGAAAGCCCAGAACTCTATTTTTAGCCACAAAACAAGATATGTGGCCGGGGGCAGAGGTGTAATTTAAAACATAGGATGAGCATTTGTAACCTGAAAAATGAGCACACGCCCCCAGTGGCCCCCAGACTGAGCCCAACCCCACCCAATGGCTTTCAGGAGGCACAGCAGCATGGCAGCATCAACCCTGCCACATGGATTAATAGGAGGCCCAAATTAATTGGTTTTAATCACTATAAATTTCCTTCCCAATAAAATTTCAAGAATTTCCAATCATGCTGATTTATATGTGTAATTAGAAATCCATTCACAGATGTCACACTGCTAGGTGGTGGGGAGTATCAGCCCCGGCTTAACTCCAGCTTGAGGCCTGAGCAATGAAAAATGATGATGAAAAACTTGGCAGGAAGCTGGGACAGGGAGCATGCCATGCCCCCTGGAAAGTGTCTGCCCCTAAGGTCCATGGGGGCTGCTTCCCACCAAGCACAGATTTTGCTTTATCTAGCCCCCAATCCCTCCCCTGCCCTTAGTCTAGATAAGAGCAAATCAAAGGGGTTTTGCATGTACCAAACAGACAGGCTTGACTGAGATAAGAATAGTGAGTACCCAGCCTCCCATCTGTCCAGAGTAGCAATGGACAGAACTGTGGGATTCTAGAGCCACAGGAAGAGGGACTCCACCCTGCCAACTTCCCACTTCCAAAAGGCAGATTTGTCGCTTTCAAATTACCCACGTCCCAGGTTATCTAAATCCGGGGTATCTGTAGACAAGACGACAGGACTTTCAACTCCTGCTTGCTTTCTTTCCTCCTCTGCTGCTATCCTCCCTCTGCAAATGACTCAGTGTTGCAGCAGGAAAAGAAAGGGCAGAAAAGTCTGCATTTCAGGCCTGAAAAGGATTTCAAATCAGCAACCAAAGAAGTCCTCCTCTCCCTACAGTGATGAAGAGGAACAGGAAAGTCTATAGATGAACAAAGATACACCAAGAGTTTTATGTCAGGACTTTCACAGTATAAAGACTCGACAGGCGGAAAAGAGGAGAAGGAGACTGCGGAACTCTGGATGGAGGAGTCAGAGGAACAGCAGTTATCATCAGTCATGTGGACTCAGGGCTCTAGAACTTGCAGGGAGAATCAGTCATAGAGTGAGGTCCCAGTGGAAAAGATTAATTCTAACCAATCAGGCAGCAAGGGCGAGAGAGCACTCCTTCTAGGGGACTGAGTGTCAAAGAGAAGGGAGAAATTGAAGTCAGGGGCATCAGACAGGAAGTCTGGGCCCCAGCCAGGAGCGGGCAGAACTCGGTCCTGAGCCAAGCACGTCTGAGCTGGGCTTCCCAGGTGTCCTGTCTTGAACCTCACAGTTAGTGTCAGAAGGGAAGCAAAGGTGAGATTGCAGAATGCAGTCAGGACACCTGGGGTTGAGCCCAACCTCAGTCCCATTGGCCCTGTGGCCTTGAATGAACTCCCTGGCCTCATCTGTCTGCTGCAGCTCAGACTTCTGCCATCCCATCATCTCAAAACCATCACCAGTACAGTGAACATTGCTTCATCTCAACATTACTGACTACAGAGATGGTAACTGAGACTCAGAGTGCCTATGTCATTTCTCAAAGTCACCTAGTTAGTAAAGAGAGGAGAAAGGAAGGAAATCGACATTTATTGAATCTCTACTATGTGCCAGGTGCTTTTTGTGGATTATCTTCACTATAACCCTAAAAGAACAAAAAAAAATGAGGCTTGGATAAGTTAAATATTAAATTGCTAGCTCAAAGCCACATGAGCATCAGAGGTGGAGCCAATACAGGGCTAAAGTGGAGTCACTTTGTCAGCTTAGCTGTGATTTTAGCATCTAGGGAAAGGGGCTGATGACGGGTGGGGTTTTTGAAGGTATAAGAAGAGTTGTATCATGATGCAGTCAGTACTCAAGGGAAGACATGAGAGGCTGTTCAGTAGGCAGCTAGAGGGTGTTGGGCCCTAGGAAGGTACTGCAAGGTCAGAAAGTCAATAGGAAATACCCAATTTGTCCCATCAATTTCTGAATTGACTGAGAAATAAGACGCAAGAGTCAGACAGAGGGAAGCCAAAGTAACAGCTGTATTGATAAAGCTGCCTTGGGAAATACGGTTTGAGCTTCCTGATACTTAACTCCTGAATTAGACACATAGCCTCTCCCCCACAGCAGCAGAGCCTGCCTCTAGAAATTCACCACATGGAGGAACAGGTTAGACTGCCCCATCAAGGAAGTAGCAGAGCCACAAGCTAGAGCAGCCCCACACACTGAGATCCTTCCCCCCATACTTCCCAAATGGTGGGTGTTGCTATTTTATGGCCCAGGTAGGAACTATAGAACAGCTCCCCCTACAAAGTGGACAGCTCACTAACCAAAGGGAAGAGGGCCTAGGTGGCACTGAGGTCAAACTTGCTTAGACTAAACCCTGTCTGCTTTCCATGAAGATCTCCCAGCTTCTTCATGGGCTAGAGAAGCAACCACCTGGACCTGGGCACAATAGCTCTGTAATACACCCCGCCCCCAACCCCACCTCAAATACATACAGACATATTCAGAATTATTTTCAATAGTGTTCTTATCCTCAAAAGTGATTGGTTGGTTTGCCCCCTCAGCCCGCCTCCCCTCAAAGAGAGAAGAAGATCATCTTTGCTCCAGCCTGATCCTTTAATGTGCCTAAAAGCTGTTGCTTCTGTCTAAAGCAGACCCCAGGCCCTGAGCAGCGAATAGGTGGAGAGGTCTTAATGGGGATTAGTGTCTGCCCAAGCAATGCCAGAACGGGGTCCTAAGAGGAGATTTTAGAGGTTGGGCAATTTTTAAGGGCTTAAATGTTTGATAATGCAGGCTCAGTTGCGTTTATGCATGTTAGGGCCTCAACAGCAATGCACCATCCAGGGCATAATGGATGTTGTAAGATTTGATTTTAGTAGTTTAAAAATATCCAAGTAGTCTGCAGGCTAATGGCCATTGGACAGACTCATTAGGATATCAATAATCATTCGGCATTCTGAAATCCTTTTAATACTCTGGGATAGCAAGGAGTGGACTAAGGGAGGGGAAGAAGGTCATGGGGAACTTGTGGGGTCAGTTAAACAAGTGAAGGCAGTGAATGAAACAGAGGCTTCCAAGGCCTCGGTGTGTTCTCTGCCACCACCCACAGCCTGGTTTAAACAGTGAGTCTGGTGGGGCTTCATTGTAACTGATCAGGGAAGGGATGTTGAGGGAGAAGCTTAAACAAAGCCTCCCACAGCCCCTTACAGACCAGCAGTTGAAATGAGTGCTGCCTAAATCTCACAACCCATTCTCCACAGTGTGGCTTATACATTCTCACCTCCTGGTCTTGGCTCACTACCTTACCTGGTAGAGTAATTGCCCCCAAATAGATGACTTCTGCCCATCCTTCAGGTTCCTACCTCTGCCTTCCCCAGGTCCCCAGGCCACAGGTCTTTCCTGTTAGTGGCCTTCTCCAGCCCATAACTTTACACCATTAACCATGTCTTAGGGGCATCACCTCCTCTGAACTGTGAGATCCTGGTGAGCAGCAGTACCTGCCACATACAAGTGCTCTGTTAGGCTTAAAATGACAGTTCTCATACTCTCTGTTGTTGCTTTGGCCACAGAAACTCTTTGCTTGTTGGGCAAGACTATTGCACGTGTGCACAAATGCCCACAAACACAAAGTATCACATGGATTCAGAAGGTTTACAGGTCTTCTAAAACCCATCATGGTTCCTTCCCAAATCCCTAGGTATGAAGCTCTGGACGGAGGAAGAAGACTTTTCAGCCTGGCTAGTTCATTGTAAAGCTCTTCCATTCAAACAGGAGACAGAGATTTCTTACGTTCATAAGCCACAGCCCCAAGGGGCAGTGAAATGTCATCAGTTTCTGATTTTGTACCTTCGAGACCCAAAGAACCTTAGGAAGGAAGGAGCTTTGAATACCCTCAAAGATGGAATACTCAAATGTCAAAGATGCTTTTAAAGTCCTTTTGGAAAATGTCCCCTCTCCATGTAGCACTAAGGGGCAGCGGCCACCACGGTCTAGTCTTGGTCAGAAGGGAGCCATCTCCACCCCTCTGCATCCTGTTCACTGCTACCCAGATGACAGCCTGGCTGGGGTCGCAGCTCTCAGATGACCTGGATGGGCTGTGGAAGAGCACAGGAGGGGGCAGGAGGTGTTTTGGACATATTCCCTGGCCCAACAACCTTGCTGAGGACAGGACTGCTGAAGCCTGCATGCTACTGAGCTTTGTCAGTTTGGCCCGCCATGGTGTCCAGTGCCCACTGGGTCATCACTGTGCTGGAAGAATAGCATCTAAGACACTAGCCTGACATCTTGTCACCACTCCAGACTGCCAGCCATTCTCCCTATTTCAACTCTACAGCAACCTCACTAAACATGGACCGGGTCTAAGAGCTTCCACTCTGCAGCTCAGGAAAACTGAGGCACTGAACAAGACAAAAGGCAGCCACAAATGAAAGTTGAAGTCTCCATTATTGCTGTAAGGGAAAATGTGAGAGACCTGGACTGCCTCATTTTCCCACTCTTATAAGCTTTGCTCCATTCCTCCCTTAGAACCAACCAACATTTCCTCCTTCAGAAGACAGTCCCTAGTGAGCTGTACCCAGCCCATCACCATTCATTCATTCACTCACTCCATATTTACTGAGCACCTTTCATGTCCTGCTCAGCCCCTGTCTTCACAATGTCTGTGTGAGTGCTAGTGTCTGTATCCTATGTAAGCTTTGTTTCCATGGTTTCTAAAGGTAGCCTCCCCATCTTAGATTATGTATTTCCTGGTAGGTAGTCTCATCCCCAGGCACTTGTTGCCTCTGTTTGTCATGAGACAAACTTTGAGCACCTACTGTGTTACCAAGATAAATAAGACAAAAGGCCTTCCCTTAAAGAATTCAGTCTGGGACGGGTGCAGTGGCTCACACCTGTAATCCCAGCACTTTGGGAAGCTGAGGCAGGCGGATCACCTGAGGTCAGGAGTTTGAGACCAGCCTGGCCCACATGGTGAAACCCCGTCTCTACTAAAAATACAAAAATTAGCCAGGTGTGCTAGCAGGCACCTGTAATCCTAGCTATGCAGGAGGCTGAAACAGGAGAATCACTTGAACCAGAGAGGTGAAGGTTGCAGTAAGCCGAGATCTCGCCATTGCACACTAGCCTGGGTGACAAGAGTGAAAATCCATCTCAAAAAAAAAAAAAAAAAAAAAGAACTCAGTCTGAGGCCAGGTGCCATGGCTCATGCCTGTAATCCCAGCACTTAGAGAGACTGAGGCAGGAGGATTGCTTAAGGCCAGAAGTTTGAAACCAGTCTGTGCAACAAACAGAGACCCATGTCTCTACACGAAAATTTAAAAATTAGTCAAGTGTGGTGGTGTGTGCCTGTAGTCCCAGCTACTCAGGAGGCTGAACTGGGAGGATCACTTGAGCCCAGGAGTTAGAGGCTGCAGTGAGCCACAATGGCATCACTGCCCTCCAGCCTGGGCATCAGAGCAACATCCTGTTTCAAAAAAAAAAAAAAAACACTCTCACAGTATGGAGGGGTGTTGGAGACATGAGAGAGCTATGACAGACTGCAGGAAACAAAGAAAGAGAATACCCTAGACAGGGAGTCTCAGGAAGGCTTCTCAGAGGAGGAGACACCTGGGCTAAGTCTTAAAATATAGACTATAATTTCCCAGTCATAAGGGATGGGGTTTTCCAGGCAGAGGGAGCAGTACAGGAGCAAGCCAGGAAGAAGAGAAGCACCATGACATTGGGGGACCACTGGCTGGAGCTTGGCTTTCTAGGCAGGGAGTGGTGAGAGCTGAGCTTGAGGTAGAAGGCAGGGGTCAGATACCTGATGTCAGGGATGGATACAGCAGTGCCCAAAACAGATAGTGCCTGCCCTCCCGGAACCTTCATTCTAATAGATAGAGAAAGTATATTAAAACACATACACTAATAAATACAAAATACATAATACGTCAGGTGGCAATGCATTTTGGCATTGTCAGTGGAGGAGACTTGTAGATGAGCATTTTTAATAGATTGCTATGGTGGCTGCTCAGCAGTGGCCTTGAGGAAGACCCAGTGGAAACAGGGAACTCCATAGAGACTGTAGTCCAAGCAAGTGACAGTGTAGGTCAGAATGAAAAGAGTGAGTTGGAGAGATTATTGGACAGGTGAGAGGGTGGCAAATAACCACATACACTCTGAAACCAGAGCACCTGGTTCATGTCCTGGTTCTGCTATTTCCTACCTATGTGGCTCCAGGCCTCAGCTTTCTTGTCTGCGAAATGGGGATGCTACTAACGTTCCCTACTTTGTAAGGGTGTTGTCCAGATTATGGGAGTCGAAGTCTTCAGGGAGCTTAGAGAAGTACTTGATGTACACCAAGTGCCCAATATATGTCAGCTATCACCATTACTTAGCTATGGAGTAAGAAAAACTTGATGAAAGCTTGATGGGAGCAGTGGAGCTGAGGGAGGAGCCCCCACCCTCTGGCTAGCTGGAGAGACATCAAGAGGAAGAGCAGGTTGGGGAATACGGTTGTATGCATAGAGTTTGAAGAATCCAAGACATCTGGTGAAGATTGCAGGCAGAAAGTTGGACAACTGAGTCTGAGCAGAGGTCTGGGCTGGAGATAGTCATATGGGGTATCATCAGTACACTGTGTGAGTTGACACATGGGAGTGGCTGAGATCCCTGGAGAGTCATAGCATGAGAAGAGCAGGTGGTCAAATACGGAGAATTCCCCAACAGTTAAGGACCGGATAGAAGGAGAGAGACTCACCAAGGAACATGGCAATGGCAGTCCCAAAAGTTTAGGAAAAGCCTAGAGCATGTGAGATAACAGAGACCAAGGATTCCAGGGTGGGGTCAACAGCCAGGCATCTGCAGGAGACAAACCACTAGGTCACAGGTCACTAAAATATCACTGACATGAAAGAGATGAGAACAAGTTTTTTAGGAGAGGCATGCTTAGAGAGGGCTGGGAGCCACAGGAGGCCAACCTAGAGAAGCAACAGCAGATCTCAAAGCTGACTGTAGGCTGGTGGGGCTGGTTACTGCTGGGACTCTGCACCTGAGTGGGGTCTGAAAATCTGGGGCCAGAGCAGAGCATCCACAGAGAAACACACCAGGACCTTCCTCCATCCCCCATTTCCCCCACAAGCCACTCAGTCCCCTTCTCTTAATGAATGTCATCCAAATGTCTAAAGAATATCTGTTAGAAGAGGCACCAAACCAGATCTTTAAGGCAAAGGAAGGTTTCCAGGCAGAGTTGGAGCCAATGGCGTCCAGTGAAGAAAGGCCCCATATATTTGAGCTGAAGAAGCTCATTGGCTTGACAGTGGGGGGGAGAAGGTCACTGGAGAACTGAACCATGGCTGTGGGCAGGCACAGCTGAGGAGAGTGCATGGTTCAGAAGTGGACGGAAGTTGCGGAGAGGAAGTAGGAAGTGTGGGATGGGAGAGAAGGGAAGAGATCAGGCAGGAACTGCAGGGCACTGGAGCTAAGGGAGGGGCTTTTTGCTTTTGGGTAGGGGAGGCTTGCACATGAGCTAGCACAGAATGGAAAACTGATGACAAGGAGGGAGTTGAGAGAACAGGTGATGGGAAGGAGAAGACAAGAGGTAAGGCCACAGTAGGGGGCTGGAATTGAGCAAGTCCAGGGACTCAGACCGTGGGTCTCCATTATATAGAGGAAGAAACTCAGGCCTGGGAGAGTAAGTAACAGATCTGAATATTGGAAGGGTCCAGATCTTTGAAAGGCCAGTTCCTACTCCTGATCAGGCTGTAGGGTTCAGCTCACACTTGACCATTCAATCATTTGATCATTCATTTATTTGTTCACTCAACAAATATTTTCTAGCCCTTCCAGTGTGAGCTATATGAACCAGGCACTCTTCCACGCACTTTGAATGTATTACTTCACTTACTGCTCACAGTAACCCAGGAGGTAGGTATTATTATTACTTGACATTTTCAGATGAGGAAACTGCAGCACAGAAAAGCTGAGTAACTCACCTGAAGTTGCACAGCTCTTGAGTGGCAGAGCGAACCTTCAAAGCCAGGCTGTATGGCTCCAGAGCCTCTAGACTTAGCTAATATGTTGTTCTGCCTTTCCAGAAAAAAAAAAAAAAAAAAAAAAGCCCTAGGAGTGAGGAAACCTGAGTTCTAGTCTTGCCTTTGCCATCTCCTCACTGGGGGTTCCTGGGCAAAATGCTTGGTTTGACCCCCTGTCTCCAGTCTCTAAAGAAGGGGGTGTATTGGGTGATTTCTGTCATTCTTCCTTTCAGAGAAAGAGCCCAGAGAACTCGGGGCCTGAAGGGTCTGGCCACCTGTCCTCACTGAGCAGCCGAGATGGGAAGATGAAGACAGACCCAGCCGTCTCTAACCCCACACTCAGAAGGTGTTCCTTGAGTCTGGGAGGGTGGAGAGTGGGGATCTCTGCCTCCTTTTTTCCCAGCTGACACCCACACCTCTCTCTGAGCAGCTTCCACTGCAGGAAAACTAATAAGGCTGGCATTTTATGATCCCCCACCTTCGATGACAACAGGCAATTTGAAGAGTCAATAAAAGATGTGCTGTACCAAGGGTGTTTTATGGCTTATCAAACCATAAAACCACACAGCCGTTTGACCAAGGTGCTGGAAAGGGGTTATAGAAGTGAATTCACCAGCCCTTTGTCCGGGGGGGCTTCCAAATTAAGGCACATGATGGATCAGCTGCAGGGGGAAGGGGCAGGTGTGTAAAGGAGTCTTTCTGAGCATGTTGGATTCTGGACATAGGCTTGGAGAGCTCCTCAAAAGATGGAACTCTCTAGGTATGATTACGAAGGCCCCTGAGAAACCCCAGAGATCCCCCCATCATCCTGTCCTAGGATGTTTAAAATCCCTTTCCTATGGGCCTAGCTTTCTGACCCTGAGGCCTGTGGCCTAGGGCAGTAGCTGCCTTTTGGTCTGAAACTAGCTCCTACTGCCCTCCAACTGTGTGACCTTGAACAAATCTCCCATCTCACCACACCTCAGCTTCCTTATCCTGTAAAACAGAGATAATGATGCCCACATGTTTGGCTTGTTGGGAGGACCTGGCCCCAGGAAACTGCTCAAGACGTTGGATGTGTCGGGAGAGTGGAGGTACAACTTCCCCTGAAAGAGAACCCAAGCCCTGACATCCATACTCAGGTGTCACCAATAGCTCTCAGGACATTTTCTGAGAGCATCCATCTATCCATCATCCATCCAATGACATGCATGAGCACCTGCTCTGTGCCAGGCACTGTGCCAGGCCATCGTGATGAGCAAACACTAAGCCCCTGCCTGCTGGAGCTCACAGGCTAGTGAGAAAAGGAGGTGATCCATGCATAAGGTTGAGGGTGTATGGGCTATAAAGAAAGATAAAGTGGAGTCAGGGGTAGCATGATGAGAACATGCTGCTTTCAAGGGACTTGCACGCTAATGACAAGGAAATGGACAATGAACCACGAGCAGATAAATTGTGTGTGTGTGTGTGTGTGTGTGTGTGTAAATAGGGTGCTAAGGCAGAGAACGATGGGAATGTCACTTAGAAATGACATTTAGGCAAGGACTGAAGATTGAGAAGGAGCCAGATGTGCAAATAGTCAAACAAGAGGTGTTCCAGGCAACAGCAAGTCCCTGAGGTGGGTGAGAGTTCTGCAGGTCCACGAAAGTGCAGAGGAGCCCAAGTGGTGGGAGACAAAGAGGAAGGGCCTGAGCCAATGGCTTAGAGTTGGGATGGAGTAGGTCCACCTGCTGCACCACACAGCATTGTGCTGCTCTCACCTGATCTTTGTGATTGTAGTAGTGCCCTGTTGCTGCTGCAACAAATCACCACAAACCTAGTGGCTTAAAACAGCAAGAATGTATTCTCTCCCAGTTTAGATGTCAGAAGTCCCCTGTGAGTATTAAGGAGCTAATATCAAAGTGCTGGCTGGGCTGGTTCCTTCTGGGGGCATGGGGGAGAATCTCTTCCAGCTGCGAGAGGCTGCCAGCATTCCCTGGCTCCTGCCAAACCACTCCAATTCCTGCTTCCATCATGGCATTGCCTTCTTCTTGGACCCTGGACTTTCTGCCCCGCTCTTATAAGAACCCTGTGATTGCATCAGGCTGACCCAGATAATCCAGAAAAACATCTTATCTCAAGACTCTTGACTTTATCATAGCTGCAAAATCTCTTTTGCAATAGAAGGCAAAGTATTCACAGATCCTGGGGATTTGGGCATGGACATCTCTGGGGGACCACTATTCCATCTGCTGCAGAGATGTCTTGTGGCCCACATGTGGCTGGTGGCCTGAGAAGAGCCTGCAGGTTCCAGGGCCCCCTGCAGTAAAGTCACAGCTTTGTACTCCAAGCCAGACCCACCTCTCTGACCAGGAAGTCTTGCTCCCACCCTGATGTCAGGTCTTTTTCACTGGGGAGCAGGGAATTCTCCTGCCTGGACCTGCCATTCCCTTTCCCCACCCACCTCCTACACCATCCCAGCCTCAGCCATCTCCTCCCTCACGGCCTGCAGGAGAGGCTCACCCCTCCTTGGTACCTCACTGAGCCACACTGCCCCCCTACCACTCCTCATCCACATCTTGCTTCCTCTGCTCAGCATTCCTCACCAGGTACTCATTAGGCAATGAGGATGTGCAGCAGCAGGACCTGGGGACACAGGGAGTAAACCCTAGGACTTTCGTCACAGTGGGAGGAGCAGTGAGTAACCGGCAAGTTTTTAGGGAAGGATGGGGGGATGCTGTGGAAGTTCAGAGGAAGGCCACACGACTGGGCCATGGGCTGGGGCATTTCAGGGGAAGGAGGCCGTTGAAGTGGTCTGGCAGGTGCCCGACTCCAGCCCTCAGCCACCTCCCCCTGCTGGCCACACAGCCTGCACCCAATGAGACACCACCCTGTGCTCACTCTCAACCCAAGTCCATGTAGGTGTGCCTTTTGAAGGAGGGCTCCCAGGCACCACTTTTCCACACAGGGCACAGTGCAGACCAGGTGCCCATACAACCTCAGCACTTGCCAGCTCAAAGTCAGAAAGGTCAGATGTAGAGAGGTGGTGGGCAAGGGGCCAGCCTGGTCCCTCCCTTAGCTCCTCTGGCTAATCTGACCCACCTCCTACCCCCTCATGTCCACATTGATTTTGTAATCACCAATACCCCTGGCTCCTTCTCATCCTACCTACGTAAGCCAGGGCCAGGAGGCCTAGGCGGCTGCTCCATCAGGCATTAGGTACAGGCATTAGCCATCCTTGTGGCTCCATGGGGAATGCTAATGCACCTGTTCTTTCTGGAAGCCAGTTCCCTGGGCCCTCCCTACCACCTCTCCAACTCCATTTCCACACCAGGCTCCTGCTGCCCTCTCCCAAAGAGTGAATTTCCTGAACTGATGGGCCACTCCAACTCTCCCACTCCCCACCTTGCAAAGGCTGGGACATGGATCCAGGCAGCCACCCAAACTTCACCCATGCATGGATCAGGATCAGTGGTGTGTAAATATTTAACAACCAGCTCCTAGGGGAGAAGCCCTGAATAGGAGTGTTTGCCAATTTCCATGGTGTAAATACCCTCACTGTGGCCAATTTCAAGTTACTAATGGATTAAAGAGTGCCATGGAGCCAGCTCCAGCACGCCCCCACAAAAACAGTGCTGAAGAGACCCACTTGCCCCAACATGGCTTCTCCACAGCCTGGCATTGTTCCCTCCATTACAGTGTCACCCCTATCATGAAGGCAGGGCTCTCTTCCAAGCCAGGGGGAGTGTTAAGATACGGCCTTTTGAGTCAATCTGATCTGGGGTGAAATCCCAGCTGTGTCATTGAAATAAGGTAGATGGGTTTGGGGAAGTTGCTGAACATTGTCAGACCTCAGTCTCCTTATCGGTAAAATGAGGTTGATATCATTTACATGAGAAACATGAGGATTACATGAGATCCTGTATGTGAGGCACTTAGCACAGCACCGGTCAGAATCAGCACTCAATACACATAGCCAGCAGTGGGGACTGAGACCCAGAGAGCATGCTTCTAAGATATGAGGACCCTCAAGGAAATGCTGACAGGGACACTGCACCTGGCACAGTCCCTGGCCCTTTCCATGCTTCTTAAGAATTGGACTGGGATCGGTTCTTTGCCTTAAGGTTGGAAAAGTACTGCTATGTCTAATCTGCAAACACAAAAATATCAGCCCCACATATAGACAGAGTCTTCTACATTTTGTGATTTTAGGGGCACAAAGAAGATCTCTTGACTCAAATAATACCTTTCACACCTGCTCAAAGACACCTAAAATCCCAGCATGGCAGCTTCATCCCAACACTGGGCTGTCATCATGCACTCCTTCCTCAGAGTGGGTGAGCATCAAGATGAAAGCATCGGGTGAAAGAGACTAATGTCACCTGACGCTTGCTGGCCAAAGGAGGGCACTGAATATGAGGGGCAGTGTGCACAGAAAGGTGAGCCCAGGGAGAAGGAGGCCTCTGGACAAACCTAATGGTGTCCTGGTTTTACTCAGACAAGCCCTGGTCTGGATGGAAGGGGATGGCAGCAGCTCCCCATGCCTTTGTTATTTGAGGAGCACTCAAGTCTGGGGCAGTTGACAGCAGTGGCTCTGGACGCAGTGACCTCCACAGCTGGAAGCCAGGCCCAGACCAGCAGGGCCTGTAAAGAGGCCTTGGTTTGGGTCATCCCCAAGGCCCAGAGCTGCTGGAAGCTGAGAATAGAAAAGATTTGTTTGAATTCCTAGACTCATATCATCACTTCAAAGATCACTTTTAGTAACATCGATGGGGGAGGGGAGAGGCAGGAGAGCAGGTAGTAACTACTGAGAATAAAAGCATCACTTAGTAGTTTGGTTTGAAATAAAAATCTTACCCAGGCAACGCATGGGCCAGCCTAGGCCCGGGAAGTGATAAGGAGATGGACCCTGGATTAGAGAAAATACAAGACAAAAGGAGAGTGATGAGGGAGAATAGGAGGAGGAGATGAAGAGGAAGAAAGAAGAGACGAAAATAAAGGAAAAACAGGGAAGGAGAAAAAAAGGGTAAAAGAGACAAAGAAAGAGAGAAGGAAAAGCGAAGGAAGGAGGTAGAGAGGAGGACAGGGAGGAAGACAGGGAGGAAGACAGGGAGGATGGAGGGAAGGAAAGAAGGAAGGGAAGAGGAGAGAAAAAGGAAGGGAGGGAGGGAGAGAGAGAGGGAGGGAGAGAAAAGTGAGAAAAGGAGAAAGACAAGGAAGAGACAGAATAAAAGGAAGGAAAGAGGATGAAAAGAAGAGGTGGGAGAGGAGGAAGAGGAGAGTGTGGGGCCTGGCAGATGAGGACGGAGAGCTCGGGGAGGGGCAAGAGGAAGGACAGCAGAGGGGAGCAGCAGGAAGGGAGGAGAGAGGAGACAGAAGACCTTGAGAGTCTTACATCTTGATCAAGGCATGACTGATAACATTCCAGCAGACCATCTTTCAGGCCCCTTGTTTGATGACAAAGCTTATCCCCCTTCCACCATCCATTATCGGCTCTCCCTCCCCGAGGCAAGAGCATCAATAATGCTCCCTCTTCGAGATGCGCGTCCCCCACGCTGAACGAGCAATGCAGGGCCGGCCATTGCTGGTGGGCATTCCCGGCCGCACATCATTACCGTCCTCCAATCCTTCACCCCACCTGCCGGGCCGCTGACCACCCTCCTCCGACGTCCCCCTCCTGCAGCAAGCTTCTCTTCTGAGGGCGGGACCCCAACCCCCAGGCAGGCAGCCAGAGTCTCCACCATTGCTGGTGGATGATCTCTGACAACTTGGTATCAGGGCTTGGTTTTTAAAAATTATTGTTTAGTTTTGTTTTGCTTTAATTAAGAAGGAGATCAAACTTCCCCATTCTGGTTGGCTCTTCCAAGAGGCCTAACAGTTTGAATTTGAATGCAAACATCTTCAAACATCTGTTGCCATAATTTGGTTGGATTAACTGTCTAGTTTGCTGGGCCATCTGCTGTTCCCCCAAACCCCATCACTGTCTCTTCCCCAGGCCAGGCCAGATATCACACCTCTGCAGGTAGAGGAAGGGTTTCAGAGATAATCCCAGTCAAAGCCACAAGTTTTCTTTCAGTAAAACTTGGAAACAGACTGGCCATGACCCATGGGATGCCAAATGCCATTAAGGGGAACCTAAAGAGGGAGAGTTGTGTCTGAACAGCTGGTGAGTTTACCCCTTGGGCCTGTATGCTCTTAAAGGGGCATTTCTTCTTCCACCAGTTGAGCCTTCCTCGCCCAGGCCAGGGCTGCCATGCAAGGATGCTGGGATTACATCCTGCACAGCCCCACGGGCTCTGTTCTACATGAAAGGCATTGCTGGGGTTGTGCAGTAGACAACCTGTGCAGCTGCATAGGGCAACCCTGTTCTCAGTCTCTGCCAGAACTTCCCTCCCTTTGCTTGGCATTCAAGCACCTTTCATGGTGCTTCTTCTACAAGACAAAGGCACTGGCAGGAAAGTCAAGGAAAACCCAGATTTTCCTCTAGTCTCACTGTCCAGCCAGCGTGACAAGTGCCTCCACACAAGAGAGGATCTCCCAGTTCCTACCTGGGCACACCAAAAAACACACCCACTCTGCTATGGAGAAGCTCCTCCTAGGCTGAGCTGACATTCAGCAACCAGGCCCTGCCCTAGCTCTTCAGGGGTGGACCGAGGATTCTAGAGCTCCAGCCACCTGCAGACTCCTCAACAGACTTCCAAATGCACCAGTGTGGAGGATCCTGGGATATGCTTCAGAGGCTTAGCTTGGGGACTGCGCACTCCCATGTGTGACCCCAGGGCTGGTTTCAGTGAGGCCAGCCAGAAACCATTGTCAGGCCATGCACAATAGGGTGTGGCAGTAACATAAGAAGAGAGCAGGAGGTATTAGGATCTCTGGATTTGCTCTTCCTCCACAGCCTCCCATGGAAACTGCCTTCTCTCACCCTCCCTCATTTGTCCCTTCAGCCAGATCAGCCTCCTCATGGTCCCCGCTAGACTGTGTCTGCCCTTTGGCTCATGCCATTTTCTGACCCACCTGCCTCACTCCATCTCACTCAGCCCCAACATCCAGCTCCATCCTCCTTCTCCATGGCGCCCCCCCAGAAACAATCCTCCAGTTTCAAACTCCCATGGCAGTTATCAGTTCCACACAGGTGACAATTATTATCTACTTCCTCCTATTATTGAATTACTTGATGTCATTTGCACACACATGGTCATGCGGTATTTATGAACATGCATGGCTGAATAAATGAATGAATAAATCAATCAATCTGGTATCAGTATTATAACTAAGGTCCCAGTGCCTTTGCAAAAACCATGTGCATATTCAACATATAGATATAAGACCTACAACCCTGAACACCTGTAACTGATTCCAAGGTGTGCAAGGGTTGGCAGATGCCACTGGGAGAGCGGTCCATTTCACTGGTAGCTGCAAACAAAGTCAGCCAGTTAATAGAAACCTGTTTCTAATTGCTTGACATATAATAGATACACCTCCAAGCAGCTGAGACCACCGAATCCCATTCAAAGCCCTGCTTCCCGGCTTACACCTAAGCCTTTCATGTTTTATTAGAGCCCTGCACATTTCATTTCCTTTTATGTGGGGAAGAAAATGGACCCTTGGTTCTAGAAGGGGCATTCACAGACACACTTTTACTTATTGAAGGGCAGCTTTGTAGAAAGCAAACCCCCTGCCTCGGGTTTGTGGATTCAGGTTCAAGGAAGGTGGAGAAGACAGCGGTCACTTTCTCTCCCCCAGTATCATCCAGAAACATGAAGATCTCAATCACATCCAGCCCAGGGTGAGACCCTGTGTGAACACAGCCATGTAGCCCCTGCTCCCCACGCTTGTACACTTAGCTGCCACCCCAAGAGCAGAGCAGCCCCCACAACACATTCCCAGTGTGGCCAGTGTCTCAGAGTGGACAAACCAGCAAAGGCAGTCATAAATCAGGGCTCCCATCACTCCCACACCCCATCTTCCCCTGCCTCTCCCAGCCTGGACATGGAGTCCACCCACAGCTCTGCTGGCAGAGGACCGGCAGCCTTGACCCCACCGGCCGGCAGTGGCCTGGAATCCACCATCCTGCTCAAACTCGGACACGTACTGGGGATTAAAACACCCTTCACCCCCCAGGGGCCCAAGAGTGTCAGAATTTCCAGCCTGCTCCTGTCCTTCTGCTCCAGCCAGAGGAGCAGGAGGGGCTTGTGCACTGCACTTGCCTGCTGTGTCCTCCCACCCCTGTTGGACTACAGCCTAGGCTCAGAGGAGACACCAGGCCCAGCTTTTGTCCTGCTCCCTAGACCACACCCCCAGCCACAACCACCAGCCAGGTTCCTGTCACGGCTGGACAGCTCCCTCCAAAACTCGGTGTGGAGAATTGCCCCTGCCAGGAAGCTTCTTCCATGCTCAAGCCTTTATGAGACTTGAATTTTCAGAGCAGAACTGCTGGGGCACTGCAGCTCCTGCTGGGTGGTTTTCAGGGGCCATCTTCTGTAGCTGGGCCAGTCCCTGCAGCCTCCCACTCCTGCACCATGACAAGCGAGGCCCTTGGTAAGCCTCATCACATTGGCAGCAGTGCAGCTGCTCAACCTTTATGAAACAATAGGTGTATGCAAGGCCTGCCTTTTTGCATATCATGTATGATCCATTTCAAAAGCTTCTGAAGCTCATACTTGGGTCTCCTGCATGGCACGTCACCTGCCCCAGTGACACAACTACTAAGTGGCCGAGGGGAAATTTAAACCCCAGTGTCCGAAACCCAAACTCCTTTCACATCACCACACTGCCTCCAATAGCAGGGGGACCTGAAAGGACCATGTATCAGCCCCAGTCACCCTGACCAATCAGCTAGCTGGCTACTCCAGTACCACACTTGGTACCTCCAGAAACTACGAGCCTGGACTAAGTAAATGACCTTCTCAGTAGAACAGGGTCGTATTTCCAGCAAGGGTAAGTGAAGAACTGGGCTTGTCTACAAGAGCCTCCAAAAATAAAAACTGCAGCTGAAGCATCTTAGAGAGAGGGGACAAGGATAATGCAGAATTGGACCCAGATCAAGAACAGTGGCACCACTGGTTCTGTGTCCAGACTGGAAGAAGCAGAAGAGAGCAGTGAGCTTTCCCTTCACTGCAGCCAAAGCAGGCTTGCAGAAGACAAAGTCAATCCCACATCTTTCTGCTGAAGGCCTTTCAGTGGATCCCTGGCTCTCAGGATCAAGACCATCATCCTTGCACAGCCCATAAGGTCCTGCATAGCAAGGCCCTGCCCCCTCCAGCCTCCTTATACACATGGACCCTTGCTCAGGGGACCCTAGCCCCACCCAGGGTCCTTTGGTTCCTCCCACAGCATGCTCTGTCCTGTATCTGGTTCCTGCCTGCCCTCTGCTCCTGGGTGACACCCTAACTTTTGCCTTCAGGTCACAGCTCTGTTACATGCCCCTGAGGGAAGCTTTCTCTGAGCCCCAGACAAAGGCCGGTTCTCCCTTCTGCACACTCTCATAGTGCCTCCTGCCTCGCCCTTGTAACAATCACCACCACTGTCATCTGACTTCGTTGTTTGATGATTGGTTACAATCTACCTTCCTATAGACTGTAAGCTCCATGAGGGCAAGTACCATGACTGTTCCACTCATGATATCCTCAGTAGCATAGCACCTGGAATGTGATAGGTGCTCAGAATCCGACTGTTGCATGAGCAAAGGAACCCAAGAATGCTTCATCAAAAAGTGAAGGTTTGGAAACTGATGCAATAATAGGGTGGGATAGACACTTCCTGGGAAACTGGAGGGTGGGGGAGGCATGCCGTTGCTTTGGAAACATGAACCCTATGCTCAAAATGTCTGGTCCATCCCAACCCTGCCCTGACTCCAGGACCTGGCCCCACTCTGACTTGGAGGCTCAGCCTTTGCTAGACTATGCACATTTCTACAGTTTGCAACCCTCTCATCTGATGCAGCATTCTCATGTACAACACACCCCCATCCCATTCCCGTGGAGGTAGGCATTATCAAATAGCCCCATTTTTCAGATGAGAAAAAAAACAGAGGCTCAGGAAGGCCAACTGGCTAGCATAGTGTGACATGTTATTAAGAGGCAAAGTCAAATGTAAGCCTAGGACTTCTCCCCATACATCTGGCACAGATTTTCCAGTAGCCCTCAACATGTATATGACTTGGATAAAAGTGGGGTGAGGGGGAAGCAGAATCCCTGTTACTCAGCTGAGTGCTTTACCCCTCCCTCTACTGACAGAGTGAAGCACGGAGCCTCCTTTGTCCAGAAAACAAAATACCTCTATGAAAGGGAAGTCATGGGGAAAGACAGTGATGTCTGTTTGCATGAGGAGGGGAGGAGCCTGGAGATTCCAACTAGTTTTAAGCAAATGTTCAACCAGTCCACCAGATGCAGCCTCATGCCTCATTCTCATCCTTTGGGATAACTTGGGGCCTCCATGCCAGGGTCCTCAGAGGTCCTGCAGGACAAACTGCTCACTTCTCCTGAGCCTTCCCCTCTGCAGATCCTTAGAGTGTAATATCTGCCACTCCACTATCTCAAACGTATGCCTCAATTCCCTCTCCGTCTCCCAAAACATTGTTAAAATCCTCCATGCCCTGCTGTCTCCTCCCCTGTTTTCTTCACACTTGTGACAACACCTTCTTAATTTCTCTGCTATCATCATAGTGCATATTTTAAGTTGGAAGAAATATGTTTTATTGAAAAATGTTTGGTGGAATAAAGTATAAAACTTGGATTCTGCTGAAACTTCGATTGTGCTGAAATTGTCACCTCTAACGTCTATGTTGATAACTGTCAAGTGGTTATCTTTGTCAGTTCTATCCCAGTATAACTCCAGCTTCGAGATAAATACCCCTACCTGTCACAAGGCAAAAAGCAGAGGACCCTGTAAAAGTTCCATTCTTTGTCTATGGCCCCATCGTGATTCAAGTTACTTGGGCTTTAAAAATGCGAAGACCTCAAATGCATCTCCATTACCTGTTGGTGACTGCCCTGAATTGAATCGTGTTCCCAAAGATTTAGGTCCATGCAGAACCTCAGAATCTGACCTTATTTGGAAATAGGGCCTTTACAGTTGTAATTTACTTAAGATGAGGTCATACTGGATTTGGGTGTGTCCTAATCCACTGACTAGTGTCCTTATTAGAAACTGGTAAATTTAGGCATAGACACACGGAGAGAGAACACCATGTGACAATGGAGACAGATTGGAGTGACACATCTATAAGCCAAGGAACGCCAAGAATTGCCAGCAACTACTAGAAGCTGGAAGAGGCAAGAAAGGATCCTCTCTAGAGCTTTCAGAGGGAACGTGGCCCCATCAACACCTTGGTTTCAGATGCCTAGCCTCCAGAACTGCAAGAAAGTACATTTCTGTTGTTTTAAGGCACGGAGTTTGTGGCACTTTGTTCAGTAGCTGTAGGAAATGAACATAATGTCCATGTCCTTTTTTTTTTTTTTTTGAAACGTTTCTTGGATTTTATCCATTATTTCCTCAATCATCTTTGAGCCCCTACTATGGGCAAAGTGTAGGGCTAGGCCCTGGACAGGCAAAGATGACTGAAGTCTGTAACTACAAATCAACATCCTCAAGAAGTTTAGCATTTATTCATGACTAGAGGGTATGTATGGAGATGGATCAAGTACAAAGAAGCGCGTAATGAGGCCCTAAGGGAGATAAAGTACTTGGTAGGAGAGTTCAGAGGGTAGAGGGTGATGTCCTGGGAAGGTGGGAGATTTGGGGTGGATCTTTAAGGATGGAATTGATTTTGCTTAGTAAAGCTGAGAAGCACATTCCATGTAACCACAGAAGCATGGGAGCATGGGGCACATCTCGGGAATGGCCAGACTGGCTGGAGTGGGAGGTAGTGGCAGATAAAGCCTGACAAATGCGCTGAGCCTGGGTCATGAAAGATTTGAATGCCAAGTTTAGGATTAGGGCTCAAACCTATAGGCTGAGCATGGAGATGACACTGAAAGGTTCTTGTTGTGGGGAGGCATGACGCAAACTGTACTTACGGGGTAGTGACCAAGCAGCCATTGCTACTGATGCTTTGAAACCTCCTTGCTGAAAGAACCCCTAGAAATGGCTACAGTCATTCATTAGAGACATTCCTCCACTTTACCCTCAGAGTGGCCAAGCACCAGTACACTGAACTGTTTATTTCCAGAAAATTCTTGCCCTGACTCCAAGGAAGCGAACAGGAATGGGTTGAGACAGACAGGACACTGTAAGTCCTAATGGTCTAGGATCCTACTGGAGATCAATCAGAAAGAAAAGAAAATAGCTCCGTGTCACTGTGGAAATAGGATTCCAGTGACAAAAAACGCAATTTGTACCTCGCTTTTATCTAGCACATGGCTCCAGGGGAGCCTAGACCGGAGGCTTTGGAGAACTCTGTCCTTCCGAACACCAGGACAAATCTTGGGTAGCCCAGGGACCATCTCATTTGGCTCTGCACAAGTTCAGCACTGGTGTTTAACTTTTTTCCATTTTTTTTTCTTCCTCCCTGTTATTTAAATGGTTTTAAACATGAAACTAGGCCAGGAAAAGGGGGTAGCATTGTTTTAATAATTAGCAATTATGATCGCTGCAATATTAATTGCATATTTCCATAGCAAACACTTCCCCAGAGGGCCAAGGGTGGTTAGAGACTGCCAGAGCCTAAAACTGGAATTCCTGAGAACAGAAAAAGGAAAGAAAAGCAACTTCTTCCATTTAAGCAAATTACCATGGGGACTGCAAGGCCCCTCTAATTAGCCCAGCTCACTGAGGCTCCTGCGCAGGCTGGTGTGGTCTCACTCAGTGCTACTGGGCCTGCCTGTGCAGGCCTTTGCTCCTTTCTTTCTCTTATTTTGGTCACTTGGGCAAGGGAGCAGCTTGTTTCCAGGGGGCAGCCGGGCTGGGCTGAGAGCCTGCCCTCCAGAGCTCAGTGGCCCTGGCCCCTATGCTGGGCCCGGGTTCATTTGTGCAAATCCTAGCCACAGGAGAAGGGTAAAATGGGACAGGACCGCAGGCAATTCTGTATGGTGGCACTGAGGGAGGGGGCTATGGCTGTAGAGGCCACCGGATCTGCCTCTCCAACTTTGTGACACAGATTGTGGGGCTCAGGGTGGAAATGGGGGGACACAAAGCAGGAGAGGGAGGAAGGGAACGGTGGGGGGACAAAGGGAAGGTAGCGGCAAAGAAGGAAGAAGAAGCAAATAGATGGAGGAAAGAGAGAGGTGGGGCCCCTGAATTAGGGGGCAGGAGACAAGAAATGAGGGAGATGAGAGTGAGGACTCAGAAGAAAAAGCATTAGAGCCATTGGCGAAAAGTGAGGTCCTTTGCACTCACCCCAGGAAGGACTTTGACAACTGCAAGGCATTCCTACTGCAACCCCCAGCTTCAGGGATGACAGCAGAGGCTCCTGCAAAAGTCCACCAACAATTAGGCTAAAGGGTGAGACCATGGCAGAGTCAACCAGCCTTTCCTGCTCTCTGTCGGGGATTGTCGAGGTGGAAAGACGGTGTGCTCAGAGCCCGGACAGCACCCTGGGTTTGCAGATCCCATGTATGTCACATGCGACATTTCACTTCATCATCAGAACAACACTTAAGCTACCATTACTATCTCCATTTAACAGGTGGGAAGACTAAGGAAGGCTGCCATGATCACATACTTAGAAATGTGCAGAGGCTGAGGCTTTTTCTGATGCATTGCACCATTTCCCCCAGCTTCATCCTTCATCAGCCTCTGAGTCCCTCAAAGCAAACTTCCTAACAGGAGCAAACCCTGCCTGGCTGCCTCTGTATCTGGCACCATTTCACAGGACTTGAAAGTCTTCTCCACACTGTTCCTAGTCTGTCATGCCCAGGATATTCATTTTAAAGTAACTTGCTAAGCAAAACTCCAAATTCACAAATACAGACGTTGCATGGCAATCATTCTCATTGTAAAAGGGTTCCCCCCAAGGTGCCTTTAAACAAGGGAGCTCGCCTGTGCATCGAAACGTTTGTTTACAGATCATCGACTCCTCGATGGAGAAGCTGGGAGCCTTGACAAAGAAACCTACAAACACAACGTCTCTAGCTGCTTCCAGTGGAAAAAGATAAACAATGAAAATAAAGCAGGAGAAGGGAATCCAACTGAGCAATGATCACCGTGATGATAATACTTTATGCACACGAGCACCTGTCATCCCTCAGCCCTCATCATGCCTCCTGCCCAGTGGCTCAGACCCCTTGTCAGGGCAGCAGTAGTAATTCCATCACTTTTACATTGAAAAGCACCCCACAGCTGACTCTGCCCTGGCATCTTTAGTTTCACAGACTACTCCTGGTGATCCCTTTAGGAAGGGCAGAAATTATTATCCCAATGGACAGGTGAGGAAAATGAGGTCCTAAAGGTCTCAGTGCCTGGTCTGAGGTCACACCGCCTGTGCATGTAGACTCTCAGCCTCTACCGCCCCCTTGGTGTCTCTGAGGCTATTTTCATCACCTCCTATTCACCCTGTCGGAGAGGGTGGGATTCCCCCCTGGGGATATGGGGGTGACCAAACACTTGATGCCTGACACTGGAAAGATGAGATCAACAGCAGTGTATGAGTCAGATAGACTCACATTCCAGGGAAGAGCGTCCAGCACACCACAGAGGGCCACATGGGGTTGTTAAAGGAACAGAGTGAACAACCAGGGACATGGCATGCAGCTTTGTAGTACCGAGAGGGTGAAGTGATCACTGAGTCCCACAGGCGAATGCAGCTGGCTTGTCTGAACATTTCTGTGGCTAGCAGCAAACTGAAACCCACTGCTTGAGGATAAGAAAGAACTGTGCCTGGCCCCCCTGATGCGAAGGTCTCTTTGGCTAGGTGGCCTTGTCCGTGAGAGCAGAATGGGGAAGGGAACATGCCTGTAGGCCATTCAGGCCTTCCTGGTTACAGCAGGTGTCAAGGCAGCTCATGACATCAGACCTCAATTTTAAGCCTTACCCCCTCAGCGGCTGATGAGAGCCAGCCTCCAACAGTACCCCCAGGGAACACATTTTTCAGCAACATGGCCATAGACTCCAAGAAATGGTACCATCCAATGCCAAACCAGGTCCTGAAGGAGCCCAGGGCCAACTCCATTCCAGAGCAGCTTCTCCTCACTCCATGCCAGGGCGAGATGGCCCTGCAAGCCCCAGCCTACAGCAAGCACTCCCCTCCCCACCTTCCCCTGTTAACGAGTCTGGAAGGCTTTGCTCGCTCTGTGTGTGTACAGACATTACCTAGCGTATTTTTTATCTTATTTATCCCTGGAAATCTATCTCAAAGCCGCCTTTGGAAATTCCTAAGTAGGATGTAATGCGTGGATTTCAGCCTCTGCTTGGTAGTTTCTAATGTAGTTATTCCCCAAGCCTTAGCATGCAGGAAGAAACAACCAAAGCAAAACCGTGTTTAACCAAACAACAGCTTGTAGGGGACAGACAGGGGAGGAAGGGGGAGGGAGAGGGAGGTCTGGAGAGGGGAAACCAAGTGCAGCCACTGTACCTGTCTCCTCCAAGAGTTTACTGAGTGATTTCACACATCTCCAGTAGACATTCCACTCCCCGGCCCCTATCAGTTTTACAGACTGTGGCCATGGAAGAGGAAGAAGAAGACAGGATCTCTGGCGTTACTGAGGAAGGGGAATAGAGGTGGCCTCCGTGACACAATATGGAAAAAATACTCTCAATGACATATTTAAAGGATATTTCAATGTTTAAAATGGACATAAACCTTGACCCCACGATGATTATAATTACAAAAGGTAAGCATGAATAGGACAAAAATTAAATGGCAACTAGAAAAATGAAAGCACGTAGTAATGATTGTGCAGTGGGTGGGACCATTTGATGTTTTTTCCCTTTGGTAAGTCCTTTATTATAATAATAATTGTATAATTATAATATTCTCATGTAATTATTAGTAGTTTTGGGGTGACTGGTAAGAGTCTGGAAAGAAGAAAGGATCTTGGACTCTGAAGTCCACTGAGAACTAACAATCTAGATGAAAGTACAATCAGAGGCATTTGAAAGGGACTTGAAGCCATCACACAAATATCTCCTAATGAAAAGGTGAAGGAAATGCTGGCTGAGCTTGAAATGAAGGAGAGGCCTGTAGGCAGGAGTGGCTGCCTGGAGGAGGCAGTCCTGGACTCACTTGGAAATAGAAAGAAATTACCACATGGATTCTTGGTTGACTCCCCTTCTAACCAGGCCA
The DNA here is from genome assembly GCF_000001405.40 of Homo sapiens. Lineage (NCBI taxonomy): Eukaryota > Metazoa > Chordata > Mammalia > Primates > Hominidae > Homo > Homo sapiens. Next base: position 47,732,685 of record NC_000018.10, read on the forward strand.
AGTCTCCAGTGGTGTGTTGCTCCCCAGTGGCTTTTCACCTTTTGTGGAAGACCAGAGCTCCCCCAAATCACTAAAGAGCCAGATCTTGCATCACAGGTTCGAAATTACCCCAGGACAGAAACTTGCAGGAGGACACGTGAAGGTAAAGAGGCCCAATCAACCTCAACCAAAGACTCCCGGAGGCTCTGGGAAGCTCCATGGAAAGGAATGTGACCCACATGCTCTCAACTTACCCCTGCCACTCAGTACATTTCTCCAAAACATATCCACACCTTGTCCCCATGCATGGAGACTTCCAGAAAACCCAATGCTGAGAATCTGGCAGAGATGTTGCCCATAGAAAGCCCCCATGCCTTCTTCATCACTGCTTTCGTGTCTCAAATGGATGTCCAATTGGAGATAACAGATGTTTACTGAACTGAACTGGGAGGGGACAAGGACACGAGAGGATGGGACTAGGGTATGGAGTGTATGGGGGCTGGACAACTTAGCACAGATGTGGGTCAGGTTGTGCTGAACCTATGGCTCCAGCCCTTGAGGGTTTATCCAGATTCCCCTAACCCTCAGTCCCAGCTCCCATGACATGACTCCCAGCTCCCAAAGGTGTCCAGCTACCTTCCCACCCCATGGTTATTATGTGTCAGTGCATGCTAGGGCTCCACATTGTATCTGCATGCCTGTCCACAATATCATTATTGCCACAGAGTGTGGTCATTGTCATAATAAAGGTAGATATCTGGGTGTGCAAGGGCCAGAAATGTCAACCAACCAGGGTCTCCATTTCCCTTGTGTCCAGCCAACTAATCTCTCACCCAGGCAGGCAAGGAGAGAGACTCCAGCACAGGCTGGGATGCTGGGAAGCGGGGCCTGGTTCTTTGCTGTGGGAATGGAAGACAGAGCACTCGAGTCCATATCTTTGGTGACAGCAGCTTTGGGAAATGAGGGGCAATTGGGGTGACAGTTAATTTTACACATCAGCTTGGCTGGGCCACAGGATGTTCAGGTATCTTGTTAAATGTTTCTGGGTGTTTAGCTGGGCATGGTGGCTCATGCCTATAGTCCCAGCTACTTGGGAGGGTGAGGTGGGAGGATCGCTTGAGCTCAGGAGGTGGAGGTTGCAGTGAGCTGAGATCATGCCACTGCACTCCATCCTTGATGACAAAGTGAGACCCTGTCTCAAAAAAAAAAAAAATTCTGGGTGTGTCCGTGGAAGTCTTTTGGACAAGATTATCATTTGAATCAGTGGACTACACTGAGCAGATTGCCCTCCCCGGCATGGGTTGGCACAAGCCCTTCCGATTCTCAGACCTTCAGATTCCCAGTGGAACTACATCACCAGCTTTCCTGGGTCTCCAGCTTGCAGATGGCAGCTCATGGGATTTTTCAGCCTCCATAATCAATGTGAGCCAATTCTTCATACATGTGTTATATTACATGTTTTATATATCAAGATGTATGTTTTATACACACACACGCACGCACACACACATCCTAATAGTTGGTTAGCCACAGGTAGACAGGCAGACCCTAATCCAAGTTGATGCTTTAGCTACAGTAGTCAAGAGAGACAAAGAGAAGGCTTGGGAAGTGGAGCCTGGGGCCACTCCCTGAGCCCATGCAACAAAGACTTTCATAGAGAGTCTCAACCATACTGGGGGTGAAGAGAGTTCTGTGAGGGTCCTGGGCAGGACTGGGTGCCACCTCTCCTCTTCACTAACTCTACTGCCCACTCTCATATCGGGATCATGGCCAGTTCATCCATGCCATAGTATTTTCTGACAGATTTGAAGAAACTGAATTCTTGGATTTGGACTCTGAAGGAGTTTGAGTGGGGAATGGGAATATTTTATAGCAACCATCGTATCAACCCCTTGCAATTCCCTCGCCTTGATATAGCAAGATGCCTTTCCACAGGTCTCACAAGTTGGACCACTCAGTTCTCACCCACCTTGGTTGAATCTCTGTCCATTTCCCTTCCTGTCCTGTCATGATCTTCCTGACCCCAATACCACAGTCACCAGACACAACCTGTTATTGTGTTAAACCTGTTCCCACTTGCAGAGCCAGGCTTACATGTCCTCATATTGATTCTTGCCAGTAACAGAATTCAGACAGTGCTTTTGAAGCTGAGCTGGCATGAGCCCATTTTCTGGTCTTATGGCAACTGCTGAGACTGCCTGCCTGGTTTTTGAGCCCATGCCCTGATGTCAGGAGTCTGTGTGCTCTCTGTTTTTTTTTTTATTATGGGTCTTGTCTCACATTGCCCCCAAACCTCTGTTCTATTTATCCCCCCTTTATGTCCACCTCCCCCAGCAGCGCCCACCACCATCCCTGCCACTGAATCCCACCATTACCACATCACCCCTACAAAACCCTGCTCTCTCTCACTGCTATGCGTTCACCAGCCCCATCAGCCCTCCTGGGCTTCAGAGCACCCTAGCTGTGTCTTGCCTGCTGACTCCCAGGTCCTTGTCCCTCTGGCCCTCTCCAGTGGCCACTCCACCTTGCTCCCAGGCTTTCCTTGACACCCTCAGCTCCAACTCCCCATCCAGCCTGCACACTCCACATAGCCCTCCATCCAGCATGGCACCCCTCTGCCAGCCCACTCCCCACCTCACCTATGACCCAGCAACTAGCACACCAGTCACCACAGGGAGGGGCAGGAGGGGCGAAAAAGAACCAGCAGAACAATGGGCTATTGACTACGAATTCCATTTCTCTTCCCACATCTGGCTATTTAAACAGTTAGAAGACAGGCTTTGCTCACTGTATGTGTGCACACATATTGGCTACACGATCGCCTATCCTACTTATCCTCGGGAATTTGTTTCAAAGCCGCCTTTTGGAAACTCCTAAGTAGGATGTAATTCGGTGGATTTCATGTTCTGCTCACTGTCTGGCAAAGCAGTTTATTCCACAAACCCCTGGCATACAGGGGGAAAGAGCATGCATGAAAAATGGGGCTGCTCTTTGCCCAAATACCCTGACATTGTCTCCACCTAGGTTTGAGAAGGGACCTCCTTGCCCAGACAGGATCTGTGTAAAGTTTCTGAATGTCTAAATTTTTACATTCTCAACTTCAATAACTTAGGTTGTTAGTATGAAAGAAGCAGTCTGCAAATGGCATTTAAAAGCAAATTGGATTTTCTTCCCCCAGCTGATACAGCCCTCGGTTCTGCTTGCCAGAGAACGCAGTTTACTTCTGTCTGAAGCAGCCATTTGTCATGTGTCAGAGGATCAGAAATAAAATTCCTTTGTGTACGACTGTCTAATAAAGAGGGTCTTAATGTTAATAATTTACCTCTAAATGCCGTTTACACATTGTTTTTCTTGCACCTTCAATCTAAGGTATTGAAGCTGAAAGGTGGATGAGGATTTTCTGAAGATCCTAAATATGTGTTCCGGAATACCATTTACATCAAACAGCACCTTCTTTATATTCCAGGCCAGTGACTCTGCTTGTAGGTGTTAATGTGTATGAGGAAAGTCGTCCGCTTGGTGTGGGGGTTGGGGAGGTGGGGAAGAAGCGTAAATCCTTGGGACACAGGAAGGACGAGGGCAGGAGGATGGGTTTGCGACAGAGGAAGGAAGAGAACAGAAAAGGAACAAAGCTGGGACATTCGACATTTGACAAACATGCCCAGAGGGACTTAACGTGCCACCTTTCTCTTTGACAATACGGCCACAGGCACAGACCCAAAGGCTTCCTCGCCTTCAAGACCTTTCTGGAATGAGGGATGGCCCAAACTTACATATTAATTGACAAATAGAGACATATTCACCTCCTTTATGTGCCACCTGCCCTGGCCCTCCCATCCCCAGCAGGTGAGGATCCCCTTCTCTGACTCCTGCAGCCCCTGAGGCACATTTCTTTTAGGCTCTTATCACTGCCATGTGCCTGGGTTCCCATCGGACTGGGAGGTTCAAGGTCATGGACCAATCTCTTCATGTCTTTATCCTCAAGGTCTAGCACAGTGCTCATCACATAGAGATCACCAAAGAAGAAGCTGTTGAATAAATGAAAGGCCCAGTCCCTGCTACCAAGTTGCCCATAGTCTAGGGCAGAAGACAGAAGCAAATAGAGGGTCACAGTGCAGGCTGAGGATGCTGCAGGGAGAGGGGACCCCAAGCCTCAGAGGCTTCCAACAGCAAAGGCTCACTTCTTACTCACCTTCATGACCATCACAGGTTGGTCATCACCCTCTGCTCCACGACCTCTTCACTTCAGGACCAAGGTGGAAGGAGCATCCAGGAGCATGCCAAGTCCTGGGCGTGCAGGTCTTACAGCATGGGGAAAAGAGAAACAGTGGAGCAACACAGAAGGGTCTCGAAGTGCCTGCTTCAAAATGGCACATGTCTGGCCAGGCTCAGTGGCTCATGCCTGTAATCCCAGCATTTTGGGAACCTGAGGCAGGAAGATCCCTTGGGACCAGGAGTTCAAGACCAACCTGGGCAACAGAGAGAGACCTTGTCTCTACAAAAAAAAAAAAAGTAATTAGCCAGATGCGGTGGTGCATGCCTGTAGTCCCAGCTACTCACGTAGCTGAGGTGCAAGGATCACTTGCGCTCAGGAGGTTGAGGCTGCAGGGAGCCATGATCACAACACTACACTCGATCCTGGATGACACAGTGAGACCCTGTCTCTAAAAAAATTATAAATAAATAAATAAATAAATAAATAAAATTTTTTAAAAAACAAAAGTCGCACATGTCTCTTCCACCCACATTTCGTGGTCCGAAACGTGCCACGTGGTCCAGCCTGCCATCAGGCAGCCAGGAAATCTCCTCTTCCCTCGGGATGGCCTGGTCAGGAGAGACAGCAAACACTGAGCCATGGTACTGACAACTGCAAACACTGCGATAGCAGAACAACCCTGGGCTCCGTGATCAAGCCAGGAGTGCTGGAGTTGCTTCCAGGGATGCAGCACTTGAGCTAAGTGAAGTATGAGTGGGATTCAGCCATTCCTGCTAGAGGTGGAAAAGACCAAAAGTGAGGCTTCGGGTGATGGCTGCCTGAGCTGGCTGCCACCCACAGGGAAGTGGCCCCAGAGGCCTTGTGGAAGCCTGTACATTTCCCACATTTCCAAAGATGGAAGAAGCAGCAGCTGTAGTTGGAGCTGCCAGGACCTCTGCCCAAAGGCCAGTTCGATGCTGGGATGTCACTGGCTTCATCCCAACTAAGGATGTGCAGTCTCCAAGAGCACAGGCAAGGCCTTTGGATGCCCTCCTTGCCCCCTGACATAGTCCCCAGATTCTGAGAGGTTCAGAGCCCTCTCCCTGCAGACACAGGGGTTGGGAGAGGACAGCCATAAAGGAAGGCAGGAGAGACACAGACCCTCTGAGTGACCTGCCTTGGAGACTGTGCTCATTTTCCCAGGCAACCACCTCAGCCTGTGCTGGAGATGTCAGTGATGGAGGACACCTTCACGGCCCATCCAACGGGAAATGGCCAAAGCCATGCAGCTGCTGCCCACACTGTGTGTGCTTTGCCAGGAGACCCTGGAATCCACCCGACTGGACCAGAGGCGGGCACCCAACCAAGGGGCAGCCACACCTTGGGAGGGACAGTGACCTATTAAGGCCTAGTGTTGGAGAGGGAAGCTGAGCCCTCTCATGGTTTTCAACTAGAGATGAGTGAGAGATGGAGCCAGTGAGGCAGAAGGTGGAATCAACTCAGAACCACACTACCCCGGCGTGATAGGAAACACGCATGATGAAGCAGGCTGTTGGGAGAAGGAAAGGGCTGGGCTGGAGGGCACCTGCAGACAGAGACAGATGGAGAGAGAGAGAGAGAGAGCCCTGACAGATTTCAATTCCAATCCAATCCAAAAGTGATTTGACAAAGACCTTTTATTCCAAAATAAGTCTCTACCCTTCACAACCAAAAAAGACTAGCTTGAATATATCCACTATCTTCACCCACTGGGGATGCTGTAACAGAATAGGGAGATTTACAAACAACAGAAATTTACTTCTCACAGTTCTGAAGGCTGGGAAGTCCAAGGTCAAGGTGCCGGCCGCTTCAGGGTCTGGGGAGGGCTCATTCCTGGTTTCTAGAGGGACATTTTTTCCTGTGTCTTCCAATGGTAGAAAGGGCAAGGCAGCTCCCTGGGTTCTCTTTGATAAGGGCACTAACCTCATTCATGAGGGCTCCACCCTTATGATCTCACCACCTCCCAAAGTCCCCACCTCCTAGTCCCATCACCTTGGAAGTTAGGATTCAACATATGAACATTTTGGGGGGACACAAATATTCACCCTAGCACCCACCAAATGAGCATCCTCTGTGTGGGTGCCCCAGGAAGTGGCACAGCATTGTAGACAAGGCCAAACCTAAGACGAAGTGCAAGCTGATTTGTGACACATCCAGAATGGTTGAAACCATGAGGGGAGAAACCTTTAAAAGAACAATAACTTTGAAATACATACAAAATACAATGATACCCTTTATCATCTAAAGATATACAAGTTAGGAACTTTAAAGTGGTGACTTTTTCTATGAAAAAGTCACAACTTCAATAATATCTTTATAGTATACTTATAGACATGAAAAGCTGAGAGTGACAGTGAGAATTTTAACATAAATATTCTTTCTCCAATTATAATTTATTTTTTATTTTTCTGCTGTAATTAGGTCCATTTTTAGTTCCTGCTGTTGTCTATCTGTTTCAATCCTTGTTCATCAATCTTGGCAAAGGATTGGCAAAGGATTGTCTCTTTTGGTGGTCTTTAAAAAAGAAAAAAAGATTTTGGTTTTATGAATTAACTCCACTTTTTGTTTTCTGTTCATTTGAGCTTTCATCTTTATTAATTATTTCTCTTTATTGTCTTTGGTTTTATATTGTTGCTTTTTACCTAATTTCTTAAGTTGAAATCATAGGTTATTTATTTTCAGACTTGGTATTTTCTAATTAATGAACTTAAAGCTTTACAATATCTTCTGAAGAATCATACTCCACATATTTGGATATACTGTGCTCTTGTATTTGTTCTAATAATGTGTTATTTCCATTTTGATTAACCTTTAATTCAGTAATTATTGAGATAAATGTGTTATTTAAATCACAAGTCCAGAGATTTTATTTTTGGCATTATTTGGTTGATGGTTTCTCATTTTATTGCATTATGACTTGTGAATGTGGCATTTAAGTATCATGGTAATCTTTAAAAATGTATTAATATTTTACAAAGGGATACCTGCAACGTCATGTTTATTGCAGCATTATTCACAATAGCAAAGACATGGAATCAACCTAAGTGGGAATCAACAGATGAATGGGTTAAAAAATATATGCTATATATACACAAGGAAATACTATTAGGCCATAAAAAAGAATGAAATCATGTCATTTGCAGCAACATAGATAGAACTGGAGGTCGTTATATTAAGTGATATGAGCCAGGCTCAGAAAGACAAATATTACATGTTCTCATTCATACGTGGAAGCTAAGAAAGTTGATCTCATGGAGGTAGAGACTAGAATGATAGATACCAGAGGCAGAGAAAGGTGAGGTGGGAGTGTAGAGATGAACAGAGGTTGGCTAATGGTTACAAAATGCACAGTTAGACAGAAAGAATTAAGTTCTAATATTTGATAGCAGAGTAGGCTGCCTCTAGTTAACAACAATGTGTTGCATAATTCAAAATATAGCTGGAAGAGAGGACTCGAAATGTTCCCAACACATAGAAATGATAAATGCTTCAGGTAATGGATATGCTAGAACCCTGACTTGATCATTACACATTCTATGCATTTAACAAAACATCACATGTATCCCATAAATATGTACAAATATTATGTATCGATGTAAAAAAGAAAAAATATACTAATGTTTTATATGTTACCTAATATGTGGGCAACTATGTGAATGTTCTACGCATGTTTGAAAGAAATTTCTATTCTCTATTTGTTCAGTATATATCAAGCATTTTATATATCACCAACCTTATTATGTTATTTGCATCCCCTATAACCTTACTTGTTGGTCTGATCTGTTGAGAAGTAAGTTGAAGTATCTGACTATAATATTATATTTATCTATATTTCCCAGCAGTACTATCAACTTTGCTTTCTATATATGTAAACTTTCTGTTATATGCATAATGGCTCATAATTATCATATATCATTTAACAGGGAGTTTCTTCATCAACATAAAATATTCCCCTTTATTTTATTTGCTATTAATGCTACTATCCCTATTTTTATTTTATTAGCCTTCCCTGATATATATCTTTACATTTTTCCTTTCTCTTTAAATTTTTCTATTTACATTATATGTATCTTGCTAGAAAACTGCATGAAACTGGATTTTTAAAAATCCAATTTGAAAGGAATGTAACTCATTCAAAAGTATTGTGATTGCTGATATGCTTAGAGTTACTCTAACAATGATGTGTGTGTATGTGTGTATGTCTCTATATGTATTCTATTTATTATGCTTTTTTATTTGATTTCTACCCATTTTTCTGCCTTTGGTAATTCATTTGAGCTGTCTTCATTTGATTCATTTTTTTCTAATATTTTAAGAGTTACACCCTGGATTTCTATTTTCTGGTGTTTACCCTTAAAATTTTGTCAGCAATCCCTTGCATTTCCATAACAATATCTACAAATAATCAGTATCTATATTCAGCCTTAGATCAAACTAAGAACAAACCGACTGCCCATCCCTCCCTCGGTTCCTCACCGCCTCAACCCTGCTATCCCCCATGATGGCATCTGAAATTTTTCTGGGTGGTTTTCAGCTTTTAAACATTTTTACAATAAACAACAAGTTTTACTAGCTTCTTTTAACCTTATTATGTTTTCCTCCAGATTCAGTCTTTTCCTGTATTTGTTGTATGTAAGATGCTCAATTATATAATGCCCATCTCAATTTTATTCAGATAAATTTGGGCAGAAAGTAATTGTGTATTTTTATCATAGAAGCATTGAGAGTTATTTGAAAGTGTTTTAAAAGTGATTTCGTGAAGGAAAATATGTTATTGTGTCCATATTATCATTCAGAAATGTTTAGCTTTGTTAAACAAAGAGCACACAAAATAGTAATTTAAAAGTGTAGAAATGTATTTTTCTCTCAAGTGAAAGACAGCTCAATGGCAATGACTCTGCATGATGTCAGAAATTCAGGCTTGTTCTATCTTATTGCTTTGCAGAACAGGGCTGCTTCTTCCAACATTATCTCATGGTTCAGTATGGCTGCTAGGACTGCAACCATCACATCTCTTTACATGCAGAAAGAAAAAGAAGGGCATCCCAGTCTTTTAAAGAGATTAATCAACAGAAGACCCTAAAAGCTTCCAGAGTGTAGAAAAAGATCCCATTTAAAATAAAAGATCATATCCAAATGATTCAGAATCAGAATATCTATAGCAATACTGGAAGCTAAAAGACAACGAAACAATGCTTTCAAAGAGGGTAGAAAAATATTCTCCAATTTATAATTCTATAACCAACCAAACTGCCAAGAGTGAGAGTTTTTCATTTTTCACAGGAAACTACTGAATGATACAGATCTCCAAAATAAGGAAGTAAACCTAGAAAAAGAAAGACATGGGACCCAAGAATCCCACCAAGAAAAGAGGTGAAGAAAAATCCCAGGATGATAGCTAATCAAATAGTTAACATATTTCAACATATTCTAAAGAGATTTTCAATTCTGTAGAAGAATTTAGGAATAGATTTGCAATACACTAACAAGTTATAAACTAAGCAAATGAAAACAAAAGCAAGTATCAATCCAGGAGGAAGAAAAAAGAATTATACTCATAGCACCCTACATGGCTTAGCTATGAATATTTATATGCTCATACTAATATAAATACCCAACTAGTGACTTTTATGAAAAATTGTGATACAGCTCTATTGGAGGATGGGGGAAGGATAGTTTGTGTGTTTGGTGAGAGAGCAAATGGGTGTGTAAAGAGCTAAAATTTAATTATCTGTGGTTGAAAGTCAATCAATAACTCTTAAAACTGAGAAATCAAGAAATAGCTACCTATGCAAGAAATTTTAAAATATAGAAGTAAATAGCAGATTAAATAGCTAAAAGAGTTGAGAGGGGTTACTCTGGGGAGTGCAGATTTAGGATGGGGAGAACAGGATAACAAACCACTCTCTTATGTTATCTAATAATATTTTTGTCTAAATAACTGTAATAGTTTGTTAAACAACATAAATATATTAATATTTTATATATCAATATGTTAGTATTTTTATATATCAATATCTTAATGTTGTAAAGGTATTAATGCCAGGCTATTTGGGATACTTTTTCCTTGCTGACAGGGGAGGAGATGGAGGAAGGCAGGCATCCTACACACTAGCCAAAGACAATAATTCTTCCAAAGAAGAACTGGAAGGCTGGTAAATGTTCTGAACCCTTACTTGTCTGATGTAGCTTCATTTTACCCTCGCACTTGAATGATCATTTATGTTCAAAGCCATTTCCCCTCAGAGCTTTGAAAACATTGCTCCATTATTTTCTTGTATCCAATTGTGCTAATGAGGAATATGATATCAATCCAATTCTTGTTCCTATGCGTAGTGGGTTGGAGTGAGTTACCCAAAAAGACACATTTAAGTCCCAGACCCAACCCCCAGCACTTGTTAGTGTGACCTTATTTGCAAGGAGGGTGTGTGCAGATATAATTAAGGATCTTGAGATGGGATCTTTTAGGGTGGGCCCTAAGTCCAAGGACTGGGGTCCTTATAAGAAAAGGAAAGAATGCAGAGACACAGAGAAGGCTATGTGGAGATGGAAGCAAAGAGCAGGATCATGGAGCTGCAGGCCAAGGAGTGCCAAGGGTTGACAGGAGCCACCCAAGCTAGGAGAGAGGCATGGAACAGGCTCTCCCTCACAGCCTCCAAGAAGAATCAACCCTTCTACACTTCAGAACTGTGATAATTAAATTTCTGTTGTTTTAAGCCACTCAGTTTGTGATAATTTGTTACAGAAGCCCCAGGGAGTGAATATACAGTTGACCCTTGAACCACATGGGTTTGCACTGCACAGATCCACTTACAGGCAGGTCTCCTTCCGCCTCTGCCACCCCTGAGACAGCAAAACCAACCCTTCCTCTTCCTCCTCCTCAGCCTACTCGACATGATGCTCCACTTCCACTTAGTAAATAATAAATAGATTTCCTCTTCTTCATGATTTTTTTTCTGTTTTTTTCTTTTCTTTTTTTTCTTAGAGACAGGGTCTTGCTCTGACTGCCAGGCTGGAGTGCAATGCCACCATCATAGCTCACTGCAGCCTCGAACTCCTGGGCTCAAGTGATCCTCCTGCCTCAACCTCCCAAAATGCTGGGATTAGAGGCATGAGCCACCACACCTGGCCCTGCGATTTTCTTGATAACATTTTCTTTTCTCTGGCTTCCTTTATTGTAAGGATACAGTGTCTAACACATATGACATACAAAGTATCTGTTAATCAACTGTTTACATTATTGGTGAGGCTTCCAGTCAACAGCAGGCCATTAGTAGTTAAGTTTTAGTAGAGTCAAAATTTACACACAGATTTTTTTACTATACAAAAAGTCAGCATCCCTAACCCCCAGATCGTTCAAGGGTTAACTGTGCTATGTATTTAAGTTTTTTTTTTCTCTCTCAGGAGACTTCTAGGACTTTTCCTTTATCTTTGTTGTCCTAAAAATCTCACTTACATGTCCATGCTTGTATTTTGTTTTGTTCTGCCAGCTATGTGTGGGCCCTTTAAATCTGAGCACTTATGTCTTTCTTTAGTTCTGGAAAATTCTTTTGCTAATTCTTTAAGTGTCACCTCCTCTCCATTATTTCTATTTCATTCTCCTGGTACTCCTTATTTAAATGTCCTTGGTGTTGACTAACTGTCCTTTTACGCTGTCTGTCATCTTACCTTCTGCATCATTCCTGGAGAAATTCTTGCCTCGATCTTTTGGCTATTCTCTCTTCACCTATGCTCATCCCTCAATTCAGTCCACCAATTCTGAGATTTTTGTTCAACTAGCAAAATTTCCATTTTCATAATCTCTAGCTAATTCTTTTCTTTTTTTTTTTTTTTTGAGACAGATTCTCACTCTGTTGCCCAGGTTGGAGTGCAGTGGCACGATCTCAGCTCACTGCAACCTCTGCCTCCGGGGTTCAAGCGATTCTCCTGCCTCAGGCTTTTGAGTAGCTAGGATTATAGGTGCCCGCCACCGTGCCCACTTCCATGCCCGCCTAATTTTTGTATTTTTAATAGAGACGGAGTTTCACCATGTTGGCCAGGCTGGTCTCGAACTTCTGTCCTCAGGTGATCCACCCGCCTTGGCCTCCCAAAGTGCTGCAATTACAGGTGTGAGCCACCACACCCAGCCACTAATTCTTATTGTATGGATCCATACAATGATATATGTATGCTTTCACGTCTTTTAGAGGACATTAATTTTTCTTACCTTAAAGTCCTTTCTACTTGTGCTGTTCCCTCTGTCTTCTCAGAGCTAATTCCCTCACTCGTCATCTGGATGCTCCTGCGTTATGACATCAGCTCTCCTCAAACATTTGGCCATTCTTGATTCCACCTTCCTCTCTGAGGCTGAGCACTGGCAATTCTGTTTGCTCACCCTGCTTGAAGGGAAAGGGAACAACTGTTGAGAGCAGAAGATGGGCATGGCCACACACCCCTGACATCTGGGAGTGAAGGATCCTCATTCCTTCTAAGACTTGCCCAGCCCCAGGAAACCCCCCATTTGATACCAAACCTATCACATGCATCTGCCCCAGGCATCCACTCCTGTGGATACTACGTGGCCAATGGCAGAAGCAAGAAACTACATAAGGGCCACTTGTTGCTCCTGCTGCGATATCCCAGCCAGTCACCTGTCCACTGTCCCAGTGACGCCCTTCCCTGTCACCACCAGCCACCTCCACCTTGGGGCCCTCTCGGGGTCAGGCCCACTGCTGTTTCCTTGGTTAATCTGCTCCCATCTCCTTTCCATCTTCCCTCGTGGGTTACAGCCTAGCTTATTATTATTTTTTTTTTTTTTTTGAGATGGGGGTCTTACTGTGTCGCCCAGGCTGGAGTACAATGGCACAATCTCAGCTCAATGCAACCTCCGCCTCCTGGGTTCAAGTGATTCTTGTGCCTCAGCCTCCAGAGTAGCTGGGATTACAGGCTCCCCTTACCAGGCCTGGCTAATTTTTGTATTCTTAGCAGAGACGGAGTTTCACCATGTTGGACAGGCTGGTCTCGAACTCCTGACCTCACGTAACCCACCCGCCTTGGCCTCCCAAAGTGCTGGGATTACAGGCATGAGCCACCACGCCCAACCTCAGCTTACTATGCTTGAGCATGTATAAGAACTTTGCCAAAAGTTTTTTCTTTATGTCTATTTTTTTTGGAGAGAGAGAGAGGTTGTTGGGTGTCCTCAGAATGCCATTGTCTCATACCTTCTGCAGGCCTTTCTATTTCTAATCAGTAGAAAAGCTCAGAACTATCTTCTGATTCTGATATTCACAGCTATTAATTGAGCTCTTCCAAGATGTCAGGCAATTTGTTAACTCTTCATGTGCATCATCTTATTGAATACGGCAACCCATACAGGTGGTAAAATTAATATGCACATTTAATAGAGGGGCAAACTAAGGCCAGGAGAGGTTACTTGTCTCTGATCACAGAAGAACTAGTGAGTAGTAGAGGTGGAATTTGAGTCTGGATGTGGCTGATTCCAGAATCCAAGCATTTGGGCCCTCTACTTGTTAGTCTTCAATGATGTTGCTTATGCCATATCCTATTTCTTGGTATTGGTTTGTGCATTTGTTAAAGAAGATTAGCATAGAATAATGGGTCTCACTGTGTGACTTTGTTCCCCCACAACATGTGACAATGTCTACAGACATTTTTGGTTGTCACAACATGGGAGGAGGTGTGTGCATGCTGCTGGCATCTAGAGGGTAGAGGCAGGGATGCTACTAGATATTCCATAACACACAAGTCAGTCTCCTGACAAAGAAGTATTCAGCCTCAAATGTCAGTAGTGCTAAGTGCCACCAGTAGACACCCCAGTGTAGACCATCTGAAACCTCTTCCAACCTTGAAAGTTCATGGCACTCTTCCAGAGCTCCCCCGTCAGTGACATCAGTGTTAAGTGCAGGAAGGTGTCTCCAGAAGACTCTTGAGGCCCAGGCTCGCCAATGTCTCGAGACAATAGATTTCAAAGGTGATGGCTATGAGCCACTCCCATGCATGAGAGCTCTGGTGGTCTACCTTCTACCCTGGGGTCTCCAGCGTCATGGACTCAAGACTCCACACAAGCCTCAGCACTGTGTTTACATTCACCATGTGGATCCCCATGAGGCAAGAGGTGAAGACTGCAATCCAAATGCTGGGGTTCTCTCTTGCTGTTTTCTTCCTCTCCATTTTAAACAGGCAGCCAGGCTCTGTTCAGCTTCTTAGTCTCAAGGATCTCTGCAGGATGGAAAGCAGAAAAGCCCCTCAACAGTCAGAGAGAGGGGAGCCAGAAATGGTGGTACCTAGGGGAGGTGGCCAGATCTTGGGGGCACACTGAAGTGTGATGCACCTGGGGAGCCAGCCCCTAAGCCTGGGAAATCCAGCCCTGCCAAAAAAGTGCAGGGTCCCAAACAGGCCTATGCAGCAGGGGGACCTGGGAATTCTCCCAGGCAACCAAAGCAGCCTGGGGCGGGACTCAGTAGAGACATTGCCCCAGACCGGAGTGCCTCTGGAGGGTCCTACGCAGCTGTGTTCAGGGTGAGGGGCAGAAGCTTAAAACACCACTGTACCCTGCCTGAACTGCAGTCACATGGAAAGAGGGAAGATGAAGACGGAAGCCTGCGAGCAGAACTGGGGGGCGGGGACCAAGCCTGGGCTCCTCTCCACCCTGTGATTGGACCCACTGTGGCCGGTGCCATTCCAGAGCCACCCTGGGTTTGGCGTGAGGCATCTCCCAGCTGTTATTTGACCTCTAGCTCCCATGGGCTTATTTGAAAATACCTGCCTGCCTTTCCCTTCCAGCTCCACCTGGGAAGCCTGATCTCATCCAGTTAATAAAACAGGAACAGAGGCATGGGACGCAGCGAAGGCACCCGTGGGACCCTGTCCTGGTCCCAGCTTGCCCAGTCTCACGGTGGTGGTGAAGTGAACCAACCTGAGTTTCTTCTCTATTCTCTGCCTGCTGACAGGAACAAAGGCCAGGAGGAACAGGCCTTACAGCTAAAAGGTTCCCTTGGAGGCCCATCTCAAATTCCCTGCAGGTGTGGCCACTCGTCACAACCTGATTCCTGGTGACCTCTCTCTGCGCAAAGGCAAATGGAGAAACAATATCTCAGTTTATGAGACCCTGGTTTTAGAACTCAAGTCCCATTTCCCTATGGACCCACAGGAATATTTTGGAGATCGTTAATCTTCATTTCTGATTGATTTTCTGTCAATATTTCCCCCACCCCAACCTTTCCATCAAGTAGTTAATGAGCTGTAAACAAACACTTGAATGCACCGGGGCAGTGGTTTTCCAAGAAGCCTTTTGAACCGTGAACCAAGGCCGGGCAGTACAAACCACACCCTCTGGTTTGCTGTGGGCGCATTTGTGCCTCTAGTTTTTCTCACATGGGTTCCCCAGGACTGGTGAAGTGAGAAGAGTCCCCCGCCTCCTGGAGGCAAAGCAAGTAACAATTAACTCGCCATAAAGGGGAGTGCACTGAATAAACCCCAAATCTCTCCCCTCTGCCTCCCGCCCCAAGTGTAGCCACTTCTCTGGGTCAAGCGCTCCAGAAGGTTCACCCGCACGGGAGGTGGCAGAATCCAGGAGCACCGTAGGTATCCGACCCCCTCCTGGCAGGGCTTAGATGGATAGAGCTGGGAAAAGTTTGAAGCCTGTGTTCCTGTGAGAGGGGAGGCTTGGGCCCACCCACATGGCACTGCATGGCCAGGGTGACGCTGGAGGTTCCCGAGGGGCCTGAAGACTTAGAAGGTCCCAAAGATGACAGTGGTAGAGACTCCGTGCCGGACCCCACAATCTGGTTTGTGTCAGCCCTGGGAGTGTCATGCAAGACCCCTCACCGCGGGTCTCAGTTTCCCCATCCATCCTGCTTCCGTCGCAGCGGTATTAGAAGGATCCGGGGACACACGCTTGGGAAAAGTCTAACGGTGTCACAGATGTCAGAGGGAACCCTCTGGCCTCCAGGATCACAGATCTGTCCTCCCCACGAGCCAAGGCCCAGGAGTTCCTCTGCAGTCCGCCTGAACGTTAACACGCAGGGAAAACTTCAGGGAAAACATACAGCTGATAAAAATTTAATGCTATATGTAACAAAGGAGAATGAATATTTAATCCGTGCTTTTATGCGAAACCACATAACCAGGCAGCCCCACGCGGCGCCCCTCCCCTCGCCCGCGCCCGGCAGCGAAGCAGTTAAGCGGCTGGCAACAAGCAGCTCCTAATAAACACTCGGCTAATTCTGTAGGAAAAGCACTAATTAGAAAAGCAATAATAATCGGTGTAATTGCTCTAAATTACCCTCCTAACAGAGAACGGCGCTCGGAGCCGGGAACGCAGCTGCCGCCGCCCAGCCCTGAGCCCCGCGCTTCGCGCCCGCGGCCCTGAGCTCTGCTGACCCCTGGCGGCCGCCGCGCGCCGCGCCGTCTGGACTGCGAAGGGCAGCCGCGCGAAACCCGACGCTCTGGCGCCCCCTGGTGTCCGCGATGCCGCACTGACCCGCGGACGGACGGGAGGCCTACGGATCCAGGATGGCTCCTTCGACTCTCCCCACGCCCCCCGCCCTCTGCTTCTCCCCAGGGCTGCTAAGGAACCAACATCACACTGGCTGGCCCACGCAGGACAGGACAGGGCCAAAACAGTAATGGGATGCGCGAACCTCTAAAGGGTTACTGGAATTCGGGATGCTGTGGATTTAGGGGATTGCTTTGGGCATGGGGTTGATGGAGGGAAGGAGGGCCCTCCTTAAGTGTAGGAGGTCAAGATTTTAGGGATGACATGTTCAGGGGAGAGGGCCAGGACAGGCTGGGCAGGGCTGCTTTTGAGAGGCCTGAAATTAACAAGGACGCTACGCCTTTCTGGTGGATTTGCGGACCACTGATAGGGTCGTTAACAAGAGCCTCCCATACCTGCTACTGGGATGGCCGCTACTGGGCTCGGCCGCAGTTTTCAGGGTAAGTTTGGGCCCTCAGCCTGTGTGTGTCTCAGCCCTCCTCAGACCAAACCACAGTCATTGACTTGGTCTCCCTGCTCAGTTGTCAGTCTGACACAGATACACACATATACACACACATGCACACACACATATACACACATACACACATATACACACATATACATAAACATACATATACATGCTTATACATACATATACATACACACATTTATACAAATATACATACACACACATATACATACACACATTTATACAAATATACATACACACACATACACATACATACACACATACACATATACATACACACACTTATACATACATACACACGTTTATACACACATACACATATATACATACACTTATAAACCCATATACATACACACATTTATATACACATATGCATATACATACACACATTTATACACATATGCATATACATACATTTATACACACATATTCATACACTTATACACACATGCATATACATGCATACACATACATATACACACATACACACAGATATAAACACATATACACATGTATACAAAGATATGCACACACATACACCCATATACACATACACACATATACACATATACATACACACATGCACACGTATACACATGCACACATCTCATATATATGCATACATATACATGTACACATACATATAGACATACACACATGTACATACACACACACACACACACCACACTGGGAGCTGCTGAGGGGCAGGCCCCTCTTGGTGCCTGACGCCTGGAGTAGCCACTCACTAAATGCTGGATGAATCAATACCTGGAACAGGCTGGATGCCCACCTGGGGGAAACAGCACCTAGGGATGGGAAAGCAGGGTGTAAAGCTGTGGCCAAAAGTACCAGCAAGAACCAGAGAGGGATCTAGTGATGCCCCAAGGGACCGAGGACCCTACGGGCTGGGAGGTCAGGAAAGAACCCTGGAGGAGGCAGGGTCTCCACTGGCCCCTGGAAGCTGACACTAGAAGCTTAGAATGAGGACCTGGAAGCTCAGAGGGTTTCTAGTACCCCCCAATCCCTCAGTAAGGGGAACTGGGAGGGGTGGCCTCCAACAAGAATCAAACTACTGCTCCCCTGTCCACCAGCCCTCACATAACCGTGCCCTTTCCCGACACCAAGGCAAAATCCCACCCTCTTCTGTTTTAAAGCAAGCTGAGGGGGGCGGTCAGTGTGAAGGGGGTTGTCCCTCCTACCCACTGCACTGATGCCTTGGCACTGCACTGATGCCCTGCCCGGAACCTGCACTGATGCTCTGGCGCTGCACTGATGTCCGGGACCTGCACTGATGCCCTGGCAGTGCACTTTCTGCCTGGGACCTGCAGACTTCCCACATGCTCCTCATCTCCACCTGCCAATCATCAACCACATGGAGTCCGCTGAGAGTCTTGCTCCTCCTGCCTCTGCCCTCAGGCCTGGGACCTGAGTACTTCAGTGCTGAAGAAAACCGACCAAGGAGTCCTGGCTGGAAACCAAGCCATGTGCTGTCCTGCCAACCCCCATGCATCCTCCCCACAAGGCTGAAGCTTTTGCTAGAAAACACCCCACATGGTTAGAGAATGGGTGTTAATGACATGAAATGGGCACTCCCTCCCCAGAAAGCCTTCCCTGGCTTACTCATCATTACAGGACAACCTTGGAATCTATGGCATAACCTGACAGATATGGCTTCTCCATCATATGATTGATCTAAATCAGTGGTTTCAGAGGGAGCCTCTTGCTGGCAGGTTATATCCATGGGTCTCAGCGGGAAATGTGTGGATGAGGAGGGGACAAGGCCTTTTGGGTACCACCCCTCCTTAAACAAGCAGCTCCACCTTCACATCTACAGAGGCCATACAGCCTGGTAACCACATGCCTAGGCTAGGAACCAGGCTACCTGGGTTCAATTCCTAGCCTTTTCACTGACACTGTGTGACCATGAGCAAGTTTCTTAACTCCTCTATGCCTCATTTTCCTCATCTATAAATTAAGATGTTAGTAGTAACCTAACTCAAAGGATTGTTGGGAAAAGTAATTGAATTAACACAGGTAAAGTGTCTGGCATACGGTAAACGCTCAATGAATGTTAGCTATTAATATTAACTGGTGTATACAATGGAATTCTACATATGCTTGAAATAAGACCAAAACATGTTTGAAAACCCACTAGATTTCATGATCTCCAAGGTCCCTTCTGGCTCTAAAATTCAATAATTTTAAGGTGATATCTTTTAACTGTCACTTTTGCATCTCCAAGCCCTAGCACCTGCTGTTCTCTGCCAGATACACCATTTCCTACTGTCTGCCTAGTGAACGCTGACTTCTCCTTCCTGCCTCAGTTTAATAGCTGCCTCCTCCAGGAAGCATTCTCTCCCTGCTCCAGGCAGAATCGGTCCAGTCTTTCCTTCCCACATGTTCCTTGCACACTTTTAAAATAATACAGAGTCCCTGATACCTATGCTGTCCCATGCTTCTGTTTCCTTTTTGCCCTCTTGCAGGACCCACAGACTCCTGGAGAGCCTACTCATGTCTATAGCCCCCATGCCTGGCCTAGAACAGGCAATTGCCTAGAACAGGCAATGTACTCATCAGTTTTTTGTTTTTTGTTTTTTGTTGTTTTCTTTGAGATGGAGTCTTGCTCTGTCACCCAGGCTGGAGTGCAATGGCATGATCTTGGCTCACTGCAACCTCCGCCTCCCAGATTCAAGCAATTCTCCTGCCTCAGCCTCCCAAGTAGCTGGGAATACAGGTGCGCACCACCACGCCCAGCTAATTTTTTGTATTTTTAGTAGAGACGGGGTTTCACATGTTAGCCAGGATGGTCTCCATCTCCTGACCTCGTGATCCACCAGCCTCGGCCTCCCAAAGTGCTGGGATTACAAGCATAAGCCACCGCGCCTGGCCACTTATCAGTTTTATAGTGAGGAAACTGAAGCACAGAGGTATGAAAAAAATGGCTGGAAACACTCAGAGTCAGAGCTGGGAGGAAGAACCAGGCCTCTGGACCACTAGACAGGATCTGAGGCTTCTCTCAAGGGCAAGGGTCAGGGCAGGGAGGGTGTCACCATCTCAATTCCAGGGCAGGCTTTGGCACAGCCAGGTGGGGCAGGTGCGGGCATCTCTATTAGGGCTGAGAAGGACTTAGATGAGGGACCAGCCCCACCACCAAACACAGAGGCAGTAGCATCGCCGATGGGGTCTGGGGATGCCATCTCACACCTGGACCATTGCAGTAGCTTCTAACTGTCCTCCACACTTGCCCCATGTCCCCGCCTCTATCCCTCCACCTGCCACATGCCAGCCAGAATGACCTGGTGAAACATGGGTAGAATCAGGTCCCTCCCTGCTCAAAACCCCCACAGCCCATCTTATTCACCATTAAAGCCAAAGTCCTCTCAATGGCCTCCAAGGCCCCACATGCTCGAATCCAACCACAGCTTCTACATTTCTCCTCCCTGCTCATTTTGTTCCAGCCAGGCTGGCCCACTCAACAGATACCAAGCACAGTCCCATCTTGCACCACTGCCCTTCCTTCTGCCTGCAATGCCCTCCCGCAGACAGCCACACGGCTAACTCCATCACAGTTTTCAGATGGCTGCCCAAGTTCCCCTCCATGAGGCCTACCCTGACCACCCTATCTAAAAGAACAGCCCGTGTTGCCCCACACAGAATGCCTTCACCTTACAAATAATATATCTATTTCTTTATCTTTGTCTTCCCTACTGGACTAGCGGCTCCACAAGAGCAGGCAGTTTGCCTTTTGTTCACTGACGCAGCCCCACATGTGAAATTGTACCCAGCATATAATGTGAGTTCAATAAATGCTAACTTAATTAAACAGCTGTAAAGTCACAAAGAAATGAATTTCTAATGGTGGAATTTCAGGCAGCACATGCATTGCTGATGGACATGGCACAGTGTCAAGCACATGGTGGGTGCCTGAAACTCTGTGGAATGAGGGGCCTTCTTGCTTTTGCAAGCGCCTTCGTTGGCCTGCCTCCTTGCTAGGAAAGCATGCTGAGTACAGCCACCATTTCTGGTGTTGAATTGTTTGTTGGTTGGTTGATTTTCTGACTGTGCGTCTTGGGGGCACACCCTGCTTCCTCCACAGTATAACGTTAGCGGAGACACACACCATATACACCTTCCCTCTTTCCAATGGCCTCTCCTGACTTTAGGTCCCCAACCCCAATTGTTTCTGGCCCAGCCAAATGGAAAATTTAATTTCCAATTAATTAGCCCTGAATTTGGTGCCCCTCGTCAAGTTACAGGACTGCCCTTCTCCCAAGAGAGGGGGCTCCCCGCCCACAGGTGGCCAACACTTGACACTGCCTCTGCTGGGAGGGAGACAAAGGCCCCCAGCCCTGCCATTGTCTCGGCTCGAGTTCACGGTCAGGCGGGCACAAAGGCTGGATGAATTCTTCATGACCCTCTGAAAGCGTGGCTCTTCCCTATCTGGCCACAGGTGAGCCCTTGAATGGGGGAGAAGGACATCTTCTCAAGCAGCAAGTGTCCCACCCAACACGGATCCCAGCCTCCGTCCCCAGCCTCCTGCCCTGGCGCCGCCGCCCCCGCAGTCCGCTGAAACCGGAAGCCCCGGGCCAGTTCAAGACAAGGGCGCCCCGCACCCGGCGCAACTCCCCTCCTTCCACGACACAGCCCTGCTGCTGTGGCATGGCCCTGGCTCTCAGCGGGGCGGTCCCCTTCCCTGCTCCAGAAAGGGTCTCCAGGGCGAGATCTGCCCTGCTTTCCCTTGTATTAATATAAGGGAAAGTCCTGGGGAGGAAGCTCTCCCCTGCCAGCGTCCACTCCAGCCTCCAGGAGTCCCTCTCCGCAGGTCTCCATCTTTCCCGCGGGTTCCGCTGTGCTGTGGCGCCCTCTGCTGGTGGGTCCCATGCAGTGCGAGAGTGCTCACCTGGTCCTGGCGTCCTGAAAGCCCATGTCCCCTACCTTCAAGTTCCTCCCTCTCCCAAGAAGTCGTTAGAAGGAAGAGGAGGCAGTCCTGTGGCCAGGTCTCTTCTCCAGAGATAAGTAGAGGAGGGATGAAGAAAAAACAAGGCCTGGGGGAGGGGCTGGGATTTGAGTTAATGAGCTATGTATTTTCCTTTCTCTATAATCCACGGTATTGGATGCAGCAGCCAATTTAACTTCGCCATGGGATAATTTGTCATGGGGTTGTTAGGCTGCAGAGGCTGGGGTGGGATGAGGATGGGTGGGTAAGGCAGGGCCAGACAGAACCGGGGGCCATCCCAAGTGCTTCCTAGCAAACCTCCTGGGGTCGGGGGGTGCAGCATACTCTGTGCACCAGGGGCCCAAGGAAAGGAGCGTGGATAGCATCAAGAATTCCTCAGGGGCAGAGCTAGGGTAGGACAAGGAAGGGAGGGAAGGACCCAACTCCAGCACAAGAGAGCCTTGCCAGGTGAAAGGGCGCCTCAGCTCTTCCCTGAGAACAGCAGTGTGTCTGTGCAGCCCTCCAGAGCCTGGGACCCAGGGGCTTCCCGCAGAGTTGTTGGTCCTGTGTGACTCATGGATGGATAGCTGGATTGGATGAATAGATCCATGGATTCATGAGTGAGCATCACTCAAATCTTCCATGCATCTAGAATGTGACAGAACCAGGACTTTCTGGCCTCATTTCTGTGTCCCTACTGTGTGCTTCCCTTAGAGTCAGAAATCAGAGGACCTCGAGTTGATGGTCCTTAGAAGGCAACTCATTTTACATAGAAATTGGGTGACCTTATATTCTGGTTTTCCCAGACAGCATCCCAGTTTCTGCCTTTGACCCAGGGCAATTAATATTCCTTTCACTCACAATATCATCCTGGTGTGGACAATAAATATGGTCACCCTTCAGAAGAGGAAACTGAGGCTGAGATGCAGTCACTGCCCACAGCTAGCCTGTGGCCAATGCCCAAGTCTCCTGACATCCTCTGCTCTTCCTGCTGAGCTAAACCACTGCCAAACACCAAGGCCTGACACTCAAAGGTACAGGATCAGACCCCACCTGTCCACTGGGATCTCCCTCTCCAGGAAGCCCTCCCTGACTAGGACAGCCTGCAGAGACCCATCCATATCTGAACTCTGCCTTCAACACTTTCCATCTCAATCTGGTACACAGCACTAAACTCCTTTCTCCACCAAAGTGTGGCTCCACCTACAATGTGCCAGAGGGGAGTGTGGAAGAGGAGAACAGACAGGTAGCAGGGGCCAGAGGGCCAGGGTCTAGAATCAGTCACTGCACATTTCTCCCCTGGGCACCTAAAACAATAGTGGCCTGAGGGCCCAACTAGAAGATGGGGAGCCACACATCTGAATGGGAGTGGAATTAAAATGTTGATTTGGCCATTTGCCTCCTATGGTCCTGGGCAGAAAGGCAGGCCAGGGCCTCTCTACCAACAGCCTGGTAGGTTTTCTGATGCCCTATGACCTTGACTTGTTTCCATCCCACCTCTGTGGGCTGCAGACGCACTCTGGCCCCTCTGTTTTCTGGCCAGCCCACTTTTCTAACTGCGGTGCTTCCTGGGATGCAACATTAGGCACCAGTTGGGTAGTAGATTCTCTCTCCCCCCATATCCTCTCAGGAGGTATGAAGTCCCCCTCCTCCACGGCCCCAGCCTTCCCGTTTCTGAATAGACCACACTCCTCTCCCCTTGTCCAGAGCTATCAGAACCCTGCCTCTTGCCAATCAAATGGCCCGCCACTGTCCACTCCCTGGAATGTAGCACCACCTAGTGGCAGCCTGCAGCCTGACAGCGCCGCAAGTGAAATTTCAGCACAGCAAGTCTTTACTGATTATCAACCATACACAAGGCATTATGCCAGGCCTTTACAGGTGGGCAGAAAATCACAAAGACAAACAAACAAAACCTTGAGATGTGCTCCCTGCACCGGAAAGCACTTGCCTTCCAGTGGGGAACTGAGCCGAACACGGTGCAACAGAAGCAGTATAGCATGATGCTTGTGGGTACAGACTTCTGAGTCAGACCGTCCAGGGTTCAAATCCTAGCTGTGGCACTTACTAGCTGTGCTATTCCAGGTACATTATTTAACTTCTGTAAGCCCTAGATTTCTCTTTGTAACATGGATTAATAAAGATGCCTCTCTCAAAGGGATATTGTAAAGAACTGAGTTGAAGTATTAAAACATTCAGCACAGTGCTTGGCAGAGGGCAAGTGACATTAAGATGGATGCTATTATTGAAATGATAAAATGATTAATTCAGGCTTAGTCTTGTAAGAATTCAGGAAAAGGGTGGCCACGTGCAGTGGCTCACGCCTGTAATCCCAGCACTTTGGGAGGCCGAGAGGGGCGGATCACGAGGTCAGGAGATAGAGACCATCCTGGCCAACATGGTGAAACCCCATCTCTACTAAAAATACAAAAATTAGCCAGGCGTGGTGGCAGGCACCTGTAATCCCAGCTACTTGGGAGGCTGAGGCAGGAGAATCGCTTGAACCTGGGAGGCAGACGCTGCAGTGAGCCGAGATCGTGCCACTGCACTCCAACCTGGTGACAGAGCGATACTCTGTCTCAAAAAAAAAAAAAAAAGAATTCAGGAAAAGGTTAACCCAACTATGAATTGGAATTATGACAGAGAGAGTAATGGAAGAGGTAAGAACTGAAGTAGGGCTCTGCGGAAAATGTAGGCTCTGTGACCACGACCAAGTCCTCATCTGTAAATGGAGATAACACAAAGTGCTTAAAGGTAGGGACCTCAGGTAATTCTCGAGGTAACATCTTTTAGTGATAAACATTTACTGAGCACCTACAATGTGTCAGGCTTTGGAGATTCAGAGATGAAAAGATACAGTTGCTGATCTCAACATTACAATCTGGCTCATATCACAGAGAAAAGAGCTGGTGGGCTTCTGATCCCCACCCCAATCCCTGCACGAAACCCAGAAGGCAAGGGCGAGGCCATCTGTGAGTACTGTGTCCTCGGCCGGCAGAACCTCCAGGATCTCAACCCCTAAAACAGGGCCAGCTGTTCTGGGGAGATGAGATGGCAGATAATGATCAGGGTCATGGGCCCAATCACTCCTCTCAGGCTGCTCCTCTGCAAGGCCTCCTCCAGCCATGCTCCTCTGCTTCCCGCTCTGGTCCACAATCAGGAGTGTCCAGAATGTAAGGTTCGTGAGAGCAGGGGTCCAGCCCATCTTGTTCTCCAATGGGGCCAGTACAGCATTCAGTGCCTGGAATATAATAATGTCCAAAAATGTTTGCTGAATGGATGAATGAATGAATTAAAGTTTTAAGAAAGTAATTCATCGTGGGACCCTTCTTCTTATGCCTAGTAACAGCACACATGGGGCCTTTCAAAACTATTCTGGTCCTCAGAGTCTCCATCTAGAGACTAGAAAGTGAACTACGCTCAGGATCTGTACTTCATCATTAGTTCTGCTAACTGCATATTTTTAATATGTCCCACTAATTATTTAATCTGTGTTCTTTTTGTCTTCCAAGTTAAATGATAAGTTTCTTAATAGCAGAAACTTTCCTTTATTTGCAGAATTTACAGTTAATAGATTTGCCATCATGGATGTGGCATTCCTAGATTCCATGCTAAACTTATTTTTCAGATGCCTTCAGGCATGAAAATCTTGTATCAGAAGAGAATAAAGTTGATTGTTCTTTGAATTAGAGTCCTTTCTGCTGATTTCCTGGCCTCCTCATAAAATCATCGGCCAAGTTAAGACCGCAAAAGACCTCGAAATTTTAGACTGATAAGCAGAAATTAACAACATAAAGTAAAAGACTGAATTTATGTTCAATAAACTTTATGTTCAGAACATCAACAGTACAGGTGCAATGTGGTAGAGAAGACATTACTTTTCATGGGGAAAAGATCAGCATGTTTTATTGTCCAATAAACTGAAGACACAAATGTAGAATTTCAGAAAAGGACCAAAGTAATATTTAAAATTTGAAAAATTATAAATTCAAGAACTGAAAGATAAAATACCCAAATTAGGAATTTAATGAATGAGTTTAACAACTGATTAGAAAAAGGTGACAAAAATAATTAGTAAAAGGTAACAATGGTCAAAAAATAAAATGAATTATGGAGAGACAAAGGAGATGAAAAACACATAAGGATGTAAGAGAAATAAGGAATACAATAAGAAAGTCGAACATACATGCAATTCTAATCCCAGAGAAAAAAGAATGAAACAGAAGCAATCTCTGAAGGGAAAATGGTTGAGACTTGTTCAAACTCAATGCAAGAATTAAAACCACATAGTTAATTGGTAAAATAAATAAATAAATAAAATATTTAAGAAACAGCTAAAAGGAAAAGAAAAACTATCATTTAAAAACCTCCTAACAATAAAATTGGAAGCCAGAGACTACTGGAAAATATTTCTAAGTACTGAAAGAAAATAACTGCTGATCTGGAATTCTATACCCAGCAAAAATATTCTTCAAGAATGAAAGTGAAATAAAAATATATTCAAATGTATAAAAACTAGAGAAACTCATCAAAGCAGACCAACACTAAGGACAACACTGAAAAGTGTTCTTTAGGCAGAAAAAAAATTATTCCAGGTGGAAACTCAGAAATGCAGGAAGGAATGAAGAGCAATGAAAAATAGCATACATAAACATTAATTATATGAAACAAAAATAATGTTTATACTTAATAGAAATGAAATAGATAACATATGTCAGAAGGAGACTACATTAAGTGTTCAAAGGTTCTTATATAAAAATGCCGGGCCGGGCACAGTGGCTCACGCCTGTAATCCCAGTACTTTGGGAGGCCAAAGCAGGTGGATTACCTGAGGTCAGGAGTTCGAGACCAGCCTGGCCAACATGGCAAAACCCCATCTACTAAAAATACAAAAATCAGCCGGGCATGGTGGCGGGCACCTGTAATCCCAGCTACTCGGGAGGCTGAGGCAGGAGAATCGCTTCAACATAGGAGGCAGAGGTTACAGTGAGCCAAGATCATGCCACTGAAATCCAGCCTGAGCGACAGAGCAAAACTCCATCTAAAAAAGGAAAAAAAGAATTCCAAGGGTTTGTAGAGGGTTTCTTTTTGATTATTCAGTATAGTACAAATAAATACATACATCTGAGGAAACTACCCAAGTTTTGGGGGGAAACGTCTGAGAGGATTAAGATGAAGAGTGCCTGACTCCACCAGCTAGACTGAAAAATATATTTTATGGGACATTTGGGTAGAGCACTTAGAAGGACCTTGCCTCAGTAGTGGGGAATAATTAGACCTAAACTAAAAAATGTTCTGGTCCTGCCTGACAAATCTTAAAAGCAAGACCCAAAGAATCAATCTGCTTCCAACTAGTTCACCTGCATCACAAAATAAAGAATATTTATGCAAACTATCCATCACATAACATGTAAAATTCACATGTGTGGTATCCAATCAAAGATTACCAGGCATGCAAAGAAGCAGAAAAATGCAACCTCTGAAGATAAGAAAAACCAATACATTAAAACTAACCCCAAAATGCCACAGATGTTAAGACTAGCAAACAAGGACACTAAAACAGTTATTACAACTGTATTACAGATGTTCAAAAACTTTAATAGAGACATGGAAGACATTTTAAAAGGGCTAAATTGAATTTCCAGAGATTAAAACAATATCTGGTTTTCTAGAACTTAATACAATATCTGAGATGAAAAATGCACTGAATGGGATTAATGGCAGATTGGACTTTGCAGAAGAAAGGATGAGTAAACTTGAAAATATGACAATATCTGAAATGAAATATACAGAAAAAAAGGATCCAAAAGAAGTTATAAGAGAATCAGTGAGATATGAGACAATTTCAAGCAACCTAATATATATGAAATTGGATTTCCAAAGTAGGGAGGAAGGCAGAAAAAAAAATTGTTGCAGACATAATGGCCAAACTGTTTCAAATTTAATGAAAACCACAAACATACAGAACAATAATCTCACAAAGCTGCAGCACAAGAAATATAAATAAAATCACACCAAGGCACATCATAATAGTATTATTTAAAACTAATGCCAAAGAAAATCTTAAAAGCAGACAAGGGGGAAAAATGAACAAAGGAACAAATAAAGGATAACAGCTGGGCACAGCGGCTCATGCCTGTTATCCCAGCATTTGGGGAGGCTGAGGTGGGTGGATCAATTGAACTCAGGAGTTCAAGACCAGCCTGGGCAACACAGTGAAGCTCTGTCTCTGTAAGAAATACAAAGATTACCTGTGCATGGTGGCACATGCCTATAGTTCCAGCTACTTGGGAGGCTGAGGTTGGAGGATAACCTGAGCCTGGGGAGGTTGAAGCTGCAGTGAACCATGATTACACCACTGCATTCCAGCCTGAAAAACAGAGTAAGACCCTGTCTCAAAAAGAATAAAATAAATAAAAATAAATAAACAAACAAAGGATAACAGATTTCTCATTGGAAACAACGGAAATGAGAAGCTAGTACCAACAATACTTTAAAAATACTTTTTAAATGTGTTAACCTATAATTCTATACCCAGCAAAAATACCTCACAAAAAATTGACCTAAATGACATTTATAGAACATTCCACCCAACAACAGCAGAATAAGCATTTTTTTCAAGTGCCCATGACCATATTCTGGGCCATAAAACATGCGTAATAAATTTCAAAGGATATAAGTCATAGGTTGTATGTCCTCTGACCACAATAGAATTTAGAAATCAATGACAGAATTATCTATGAAATATCCACAAGAAGCCCATTTCTAAATAAATGTGGTTCAAAGAAGAAATCTAAAAGGAAATTAGAAAGTATTTTGAACTGAATCAAAGTGAAAATAATATATATCAAAAGTTTGAATACACAGCTAAAGCAGTACCTAGAAGGAAATTTATAACACTAACTGCCTATTTAAGACAAGAGCACTCTCAAGTAAATGATCTCAGCTTTCACATTAAGAAACTAGAAAAAGAAGATGAAAGTAAGCCCAAAGTGAGCAGAATAAAAAACAGAGATCAGAGCAGAAATAGAAAAAAATAGAGAAAGTTAAACAAAAAGCAGGTTCTATGAGAAAAACAATAAAATTAATAAATGCCTAGCTAAGCTGATCAAGAAAAAAAGAAGGAAGACATACATTAACATTATCAGAAATAAGAGAGGTGACATCACTATAGATTCTACAGATATTAAAAGGATAACAAAGAAATGTTATTAGCAACTTTATGCCAATAAATTTGACAACTTAGATGAAATGTATAAATTCCTTGAAAGATATAATTCCCAAAGCTCACTAAAAAATAAATAGATAGCCTGAATATCTACTAAAGAATTAAATATGTTTAACTCTCCCCTCTCCCCCAAAAAACAACCTCCAAACCCAGAGAATTTCACTGGTGAATTCTACCAATAATTTTTATTTAAGAAAAAAATAGTATTAATTATAGGCAATTGAAAGTTAAAGAAGAAAGAATACTTCTGAACTTCTTCTATGAAGTCATTTCCCTGATACCAAAACCAGACAAGAAAACAAAACAAAACTACAGAGATAGGGAAACATATAAAAATTCTAAACAAAAAAATAGCAAATCAAATCAAGCAATATATATTTTAAAAGATAATAACCAAGTGGGGTTTACACAAGGAAAGCAAGTTTGGCTTAGCATTCAATAATCAATGTAACTCACCAAACTGAAAAAGAAAAATCATTTAATCATCTCAATAGTCACAGGAAAAGCATTTGACAAAACTCAACATCCATTCCTACTTTAAAAAAAAGAACTTCAGAAAACTAGGAAATTAATGAAACTTCTTCAATAAAAAGCATCTACAAAAACTTAACGCTGGAAGTCCTAGCCAGAGCAATCAGGCAAGAGAAAGAAATAAAAGGCATCCAAACAGGAAAAGAAGTCAAACTATGTCTCTTCACTGGCAATATAATTCTATACCTAGAAAACCCTGAAGACTCCACCAAAAGCCTCCTAGAACGGATAAACAACTTCAGTAAAGTTTTGGGATACAAAACCAATGTGCAAAAATCAGTAGCATTTCTGTATATCATTAATGTTCCAGCTGAGAGCCAAATCAAGAAGGCAGTCCCATTTTCAATAGCTGCAAAAAAAAAAAAAAAAACCCTAGAAATACCTCTAACCAAGGAAGTCAAAGATCTCTACAAGAGAACTACAAAACACTGATGAAAGAAATAATAGATGACACCAACAAATAAAAAAACATTCTACGCTCATGGATTGGAATAATTAATATCATTAAAATGGCTATACTACACAAAGCAATCTACATATTCAACATTATTCCTACCAAACTACCAACATCATTTTTCACATAATTAGAAAAAACTATTTTAAAATTAATATGGAACTGAAAAAGAGCCCAAATAGCCAAAGTAATCCTAAGCAAAAAGAACAAAGCTGGAGGCATCACATTACCCAACTTCAAACTATACAATAAGGCTTCAGTAACCAAAACAGCATGGTACTGGTGCAGAAACAGACATATAGACCAATGAAACAGAATAGAAATCCAGAAATAAAGCCACACACCTATAGCCATCTGATCTTCAACGAAGTCAACAACAATAAGCAATGTGAAAAGGGCTCCCTATTCAATAAATGGTGCTGGGATAGCTGGCTAGCCATATGCAGAAAAACAAAACTAGACCCCTACCTTTCACCATATACAAAAATTAACTCAAGATGGATTAAAGATTTAAATGTAAAATCTCAAACTATAAGAATCCTAAAAGAAAACCTAGGAAACACCATTCTGGACATCAGCCTTGGGAAAGAATTTATAACTAAGTCCTCAAAAGCAATTTCAACAAAAACAAAAATTAAGTGGAACCTAATTAAACTAAAGAACTTCTGCACAGCAAAAGAAACTATCAACAGCACTTTCGGAGGCCAAGACAGGCAGATCACTTGAGGTCAGGAGTTCGAGACCCGCCTGGCCAACATGGTAAAACCCCGTCTCTGCTAAAAATATAAAACATTAGCCGGATGTGATTGTGGGTGCCTGTAATCCCAGCTACTCAAGAGGCTGAGGTGGGAGAATCACTTGAACCTTGGAGATGGAGGTTGCAGTGAGCCAAGATTGCGCCACTGCACTCCAGCCTGGGCGACAGAGCAAGATTCCGTCTCAAAAAACAAAAACCAAACAAACAAAAAAAAACAGGAAAAAGAAAACAAGAAACTATCAACGGAGTAAACAGACAACCTACAGAATAAGAGATAATATTCGCAAACCCTATGCATCCAACAAAGGTCTAATAGCCAGAATCTATCAGGCACTTAATTCAACAGGCAAAAACCAAATAACCCCATTAAAAAGTGGGCAAAAGACATGAGCAGACGCTTCTCAAAAGAAGACATACAAGGGGCCAATGAACATGAAAAAATTCCCAACATCACGAATCATCAGAGAAATGCAAATCAAAACCACAATGAGATACCATCCCACACCAGGCCAAATGGCTATTATTAAAAAGTCAACAAACAACAGATGCTGATGAGGCTGCAGAGAAAACAGAATGCTGTTGGTGAGAATGTAAATTAGTTCAGCCGCTGTGGAAAGTAGTTTGGAGATTTCTCAAGGAAGTGAAAATAGTACTACCATTCAACCCAGCAATCCTATTACTGGGTACACCTCCAAAGGAAAAGAAATCCTTCTTCCAAAAAGACACCCACACTCGGATGTTTACTACAGCACTATTCACAACAGCAAAGACATGGAATCCACATAAGTGCCCATCAATGGTGGATTGGATGAAGAAAATGTGGTATAAATACACCATGGCTACTATGCAGCCATAAAAAAAAAGAACGAAATCATGTCCTTTGCAGCAACATGGATGCAGCTGGAGGCCATTATTCTAAGTGAATTAATGCAAGAACAGAAATACTGCTGTTCTCACTTATAAGTGGAAGCTAAATATTGGGTATACATGGACATAAAGATGGCAACGATAGACACCACGGACTACCAGAGGAAGGAGGAAGGGAGGCAGCAAGGGTTGAAAAACTACCTATTAGGTACTATGCTCACTAGCTGGGTGATGGGATCATTAATTCCCCAAACCTCACCATCACACAGTGTACCCGTGTGACAAACCTGCACATGTACCCCCTGAATCTACAATAAAAGTTGAAATTATTTTTTAAAAAGTTACTACTAAAATCATACTTAACGATGAAAGAATAAATGGTTTGCTCATTAAAAATTAGGAACAAGGCAAAGATGTCTGCTCCCACCACTCACATTCAACCTGATACTGGAAGTCCTAGCCCATGCAATATGGCAGAAGAAGAAAGACAGAGAGAAAGAGGGAGCAGGAGAGGGAAAGAGAGAGAGAAAGAGGGAGGGGGGAGAGAGAGAAAGATGGAAGGAAGGAAGGAAGGAAGGAAGGAAAGGAGGGAGAGGGAGGGGAGGGGAGGGGAGAGGAGAGGAGATTGGAAAAGAAGAAATAATATTGTACCTATGTACCTCGTTACAGATATCATGACTGTCTAAATAGAATATCTTTTAAAATGCTTTTAAGATCAATAAGAGAGTTCAGCATGGTTGCTGGATATAAGATCAACACACTAAAATCAATCACAATACTAACATATAATAATCACATACTCACAATTGCTCCAAAGGAAATAAAATATTTAGGTATAAATATAACAAAACATAATATAGGATTAGTGTGCTGAAAATTACAAAATGCTAATGAAAGGAGATCTAATAATCAAAGGAAATCTACATAAATAGACATAAAGTATTCATAAACTAGAAGATGCAACATAGGAAAATCTCAGTTCTTCCCAAATTCATCTAGCAGTTTACTGCAATTTCTATCACAATCTCAGATAGAGGTTTTTAAAACCGTTAGGTGTTTTTCTTTGTTTTTGGTACTTAGGCCAGCTTATTCCATATATTCTAAGTTTTAAATGAAAAAGCAAATCCCTAAAATAGTAAATCAATTTTTCTTTTTTGAGACAGAGTTTTGTTCTTGTTGCCCAGACTGGAGTGCAATGGTGCAATCTTGGCTCACTGCAACCTCTGCCTCCTAGGTTCAAGCGATTCTCCTGCCTCAGCCTCCTGAGTAACTGGATTACAGGCGTGCGCCATCACGCCCAGCAAATTTTGTATTTTTAGTAGAGACAGAGTTTCACCATGTTAGTCAGGCTGGTCTCAACCTCCTGCTAAATCAATGTTTTAAAAGAAGAATAAAGTGAGAGAAATCACTCTATCCAGTTGCTATGATGTGAATTTGTATGTCCCCTCAAAATTGATTCATTGCAATCTTAACCCCCAAGGTGATGGTACTAAGAGGTAGTTAAGTCATTGGGAGGTAATTGGGTCATGAGGGCAGAGCCCTCATGAATGGAATTAGTGCCCTTACAAGAGGCCTGAGGGAGCTCATTCACCACTTCCACCATGTAAAATACAGCAAGAAGACAACATCTGTGAGGAACAGGCCCTCAGCAGACACTGAATCTGCTTGTGCCTTGATCTTGACTTTCCCAAACTCCAGAACTATAAGAAATAGATTTCTGTTGTTTAAAAATTACCCAGTCTAAGGCATTTTGTTATAGCAACCTGAATTGACTAAGACATCAATGTAAGACTTATTATATTCCTACAGTAATTAAGACTGTGGTATTTGTAGAGAGATGGATACACAGATGAATGGAATGCATAGATAACCCAGAAATAGCCCCTTACAAATATGCCCAATTGAGTTTTTTAAGAAATAGGGTCTTGCTGTGTTGCCCCAGCTGGAGTGTAGTGGCTATCCACAGGCAAGATCCCACTACTGATCAGCACAGAAGTTTTGACCTGCTCCATTTCTGAGGTAGTCCCCCACTCCTGGGAGGTCACCATTTGGATACCAAACTTAGTGCAGACACCTGGTTGGCATAATGCACTATAGCCTAGGACTCAGCCTCCTGAGTACCTGGGACTATAAGCACCTGCAACCAAGCCCAGCTCAACTGATTTTTAACAAGCGTACCAAAGCAATTCAACAGAAGAAGGGTGATCTTTCAGCAAATAGTGCTGGAACAACTAACTGGACATTGATAGGCAGTGAAAAAACAAAACAAAAGAACCTCAATCTAAACCTTAAACTTTATACAAAAATTAACCCAAAATGGATCATGGACTTACGTGTAAAATATAAAACTTAAAACTTTTATAAGAGAACATTGGATTTGGGAGGCCGAGTCAAGCAGATCACTTGAGATCGGGGGTTCAAGACCAGCATGGCCAACATGGCAAAACTCCATCTCTACTAAAAATACAAAAATCAGCTGGGTGTGGTGGCAGGCACCTGTAATATCAGCTGCTCAGGAGGCTGAGGCAGGAGAATCACTTCAACCCAGGAGGCAGAGGTTGCAGTGAGCCAAGATCGTACCACCGCACTCTAGCCTGGGTGACAGAGTGAGACTCCGTCTCAAAAATGAAAAAAAATAAAATAAAAGGAAGGAAGGGAAGGAAGGGAACAGGGGAAGGAAGGAAGGAAGGAAGGAAGGAAGGAAGGAAGGAAGGAAGGAAGGAAGGAAGGAGAAAGAAAGAAAGAAAGGAAGGAAGGAAGGAAGGAAGGAAGGAAGGAGGAAAGAAAGAAAAGGAAAAGAAAAGAAGAGAAAAGACTGGAGAAAATCTTCAGGACCTAGAACTAGGAGAAGAGTTCCTAGACATGACATCAAAAGCACAATTAAGAAAAGAAGGACATTGATACATTGACTGTCTTAGTTCATTTTGTATTACCATAACAGAATACCTGAGACTGAGTAATTTATAAAGAAAAGGCTTATTTAGCTCAGTTCTGTAGGCTGGGAAGTTCTAGGGCATGTCCCTGGCTTCTGGTGAGGACTTTCTCACTGTCATAACATGGTTGAGAACATAAAAGGGAAAGCAGATGCATGCAAAGAGGCAAAATCCACAGAGGCACCCTGGCTTTTAACAACACACTGTCATGGGAACTAACCCATTCCTGTGAAAACCAATACAGTCTGGCCAGAGCAAAGACTCCACTCACTACAGCAAGAACTGCACCAAGCCATGCATGAGTGATCTGCCCCCATGACCCAAACACCTCCCACTAGGCCCCACCTCCCAACACCACCTCACTGAAGATCAAATTTCAACATGAGTTTTGGTGGCGACAAGCTCAAACCATAGCATCAGCCTCAACAAAACTAAAACTTTCGCTATGTGCAAGACTGTTAAGATGCTGAAAAGACAAGCCACAGGCTGAAAAAAAAATTTGCAAACCATATATCCAACAAGACATGCAAAAAACTCAAAACTCAACATTAAAAACAAAAACAATCTTATTAGAAATGGGCAAAAGACATGAAGGAAATTTCACTGAAGAGGATATATGATGGCAAATAAACACACAAAAAGATGTTCAACATCATTAGCCATAAGGGAAATGCAAATTAAAACTACAATGAGTTATCAACACATACCTATCAGAATGGCTAAAGAATAGTGACAACACGAAATGCTGATGGCTGCAAAGAAACTGAATCACTCATACATTGCTAGTGGAAATACATAACGGCACAGGCACTCTGGAAGACAGCTTGTGGTTTCCTTAAAAACTAAACATGCGGGCCGGGCGCGGTGGCTCACACCTGTAATCCCAGCACTCTGGGAGGCCGAGGCGGGCAGATCACAAGGTCAGGAGATAGAGACCATCCTGGCTAACACAGTGAAACCCCATCTCTACTAAAAATACAAAAAATTAGCCGGGTGTGGTGGTGGGCGCCTGTAGTCCCAGCTACTTGGGAGACTGAGGCAGGAGAATGGCATGAACCCAGGAGGCAGAGGTTGCAGCGAGCCAAGATCACACCACTGCACTCCAGCCTGGGCGACAGAGCAAGACTCCGTCTCAAAAAAAAAAAAAAAAAAAAAAAAAACCTAAACATGTGGCAGAGCACAGTGGCTCACACCTGTAATCCTAGCACTTTTGGAGGCCAAGTTGGGCGGATCACCTGAGGTCACGAGTTCGAGACCATCCTGGCCAACATGGTGAAACCCTGTCTCTATTAAAAATACAAAAAATTAGCCAGGCATGGTGACACGTGCCTGTAATCCCAGCTACTCAGGAGGCTGAGGCAGGAGAATCGCTTGAACCCAGGAGGCAGAGGTTGCAGTGAGCCGAGATTGCACCACTGCACTCCAGACTGGGCAACAGAGCAAGTCTCCATCTCAAACAAAACAAAACAAAACAAAAAAACTAAACATGCAACTACTATACAACCCATTAATTCCACTCCTGGGCTTTTTTACAGAGAAATGAAGACTTATGGTTATACAAAAGCATGTACGTGAATGTTCACAGCAGGTTTATTTAAATTAGCCAAAAACTAGAAACAACCTAAATGTTCTTCATAAGAATGGTTAACTTACACACATTTATTATCTCACAGTTTTCATGGATCAGGAATCTGGGCACAGCTTAACCAGGTCCTCTGCTCAGGTCTCATAAGGCTGCATGCAATCAGGTGCCGGCAGGACTACAGTGTCATCAGCTGCTTGACTGGGGAAACTCTGCTTCCAGGTTCCCACACAATTGTCGACAGAATTGATCTTCTTACATCTATAGGGCTGAGGTCCCCATTTTTTCTCATCATTTACAGATTGCCTTCCATTCCCTGCCACATGGCCCTCTCCATAGACATTCATACATAATTTTTTGGTTCTTTAAGACTAGCAGGCCCTCCCTCCAAAAGTAACTACGTGAGATGATAGATAAATTAGTCTGCTTCACTATAGTAAC
The DNA here is from genome assembly GCF_000001405.40 of Homo sapiens. NCBI lineage: Eukaryota > Metazoa > Chordata > Mammalia > Primates > Hominidae > Homo > Homo sapiens. The sequence continues at coordinate 47,769,595 of NC_000018.10, forward strand.
CACTTTACTATCTATGTGTATCCCATAACATGTCTTAAACCTCAAATGTACACAATAAAATTTATTTAAAAAAACAAAGACTAGGGGGAAAATCTTTCTCTTCAGTCTAAGACAGAGTGCTATATAAAGAAACACAACCATGGGAGTGACATGCCACCATCTTTGCCATATCCTATTGCTTAGAGGCAAGTCACAGTTTCCACTCATACTCAAGGGAAGGGGATGGTACAAAAATGTGGATCACTGGGGTTTGCCTGACACACCAAGTCAAACAGCGGGTAACCAAGGTTAAATCTACAGAAACTGCACAGTGTAAAATGCTGATTAGCTTTTTACTTTATTAGATTAACTATGCTTGTTAAAGTTTCTAGGGTAACCACTAAAACGACAGAACTAAGATGTATAACCCCAGTGGGGGCCAGTAAGAATGAGAGTCTGCAGTACAAATGAAAATAAGAAAGGGGAAAAAAAATGAAGTGAAGGGCCAGGTGCATTGGCTCACATCTGTAATCTCAGCACTTTGGGAGGTCAAGGCAAGAGGATCACTTGAGCTCAGGAGTTCCAAACCTGCCTGGGCAACATGACGAAACCCCATCTCTACAAAAAATGCAAAAATTAGCCAGGCATGGTGACACACTCCTGTAGTCCTAGCTACTTGAGAAGCTGAAGTGGAAGGATCGCTTGCGCCCAGGAGGTCGAGGCTGTGGTAAGCCATGATCATGCCACTACACTCCAGCCTGGGCAAGAACCTGTTTCAAAAAGAAAAAAAAAGGAAATGAAGAAACTTGGACAAGTAGAAAATGCAAAATAAGATAATATTAGTAAATCCAAATTTATCATTAAAACCGTAAACAAAATGGATTAACTTTCCAGTTAAAAGATAAAGTTTGTACAACTGAATTCTTAATAATCCAGCTACAAGCTACCTACAAGAGGCATTCCTAAAACACAGAAACACAGAAAGTCTGAAAGCAAAAGAATGGAAAATACATATACCATCAAAATATTATTCTAAAGAAAGAAGTATAGATAAATATACTGTGATTTGGTCATAAAATAGAATATTGACCAGCAGTGAAAACAACTGAAACATAGCTACACTTACCAGAATGGATCAAATCAGTCACAGAAGAATGTATACAATATGATGCGACCTAAATACATTTCAAAAACATTCAAAACTAAATAACATATTGTTTTTGACAGATACACATGTCATAGGTTATTTAATAAAAGGACACAATAAACATAAAATGTAGGAGGCTGGAGCCTCCGGAGGTGGCAAAGGGATTTGGAAGAGATAACATGGGAGTTTTCAAGGTTATTACAATGGAAATTTAGTAATTATTTTGAACTAAATAATAATAACATACAATATATATAAAAACAATTTCTTAAGCTTGATGCACAGTAGATGTATATTCATTTTATTTTTTCTTTATATCTTTTATATGCGCATGTGTATAATGTTCTTTAAAATGTATTCAAAATTCAATAACTCTTTAAAATTTACTGAAAGCCTGATAGTATATCCCTTTTTTGACCCAGAGAAAAAGTACAATGAATGGAGCCACGAAAAGAAAGGCCTTTCCCCCCAGGATTGCCATGAACTTCACACAAACTCACAGCATCCTGCACAGTCAAGTCTCCACTGAGACAGCTCGACCAAGACACAGAACTCATGAACACTGCAGCCAGGAGACCCACTCATGCTGGGACTCGAGGCAGAACCAAGGAATCCTTGCTCCTTTGTGTCTTTCTGGGGAACCTGGTAGCTGTCTGTCCTCCTCTGAACATCTCAGAATTCTTGTCCAGGTAAGAAATTTCCCAACAATTCTATTTCTGACCAGGATACTATGTGATAGGATCTGTTTCTCATTCAACACATTTTTGTAAGCACCTATCATGTGCCAGGCTGTGGGCTAAATGCTTGGGTTACCATAGTGAAATGTGATGTTACCATAGTGAAATGTGACAAACGGGGTCTTACCTTTAGATGCCCAGAGCCTAAGAGGGCTACCGACAAGCAAATGGGAAAATACAATGGAGAGTGTCAAATGCAATGAGCATGTGAGTTCCACGTACCAGGGAGGAAGACGGGGGAAGGTTCCCAAACTCAGAGTGGCCATTAGGGATGCTTGCCAGAGGAAGTGGCAACTAAGCTGGGAAGACAAAGGGCTCTGTAATACCATCCTCCCAGCTTCAACCTGACTTACATTCAGTAACATGTCATGGACCCATCACTTGATGGTCAAACCTTCCGTGGCTTCTATTGCATATTCAGCCTCCAACACCCAGTGGGATGCTGAGCCCCATTGCTTTACACTCTGATGTGGGAACTGGGGCCTTCCTTTTTGTTATCCCAAAGCAGCTGCCTTCCAACCTCAGGGAGGATGGTACAGGGAGCACCCCTGTTGAGGAGGCGGCCTCAGCTTCCTGCCCTGCTCTGCCCCAGGCCCAAGGCAGTTGGTCTGGTCCTATGGGTCCACTGCACATGGAGGGTGGAAGGAACTAGAAAGCAGGACTCTCACCCTTCCCCCTGGACTCCACCCACCAGAAGCATGCTGAGCTAAATGCAGGTTCTTGACCCCAGGCAGCCCAAGCGGGGGTGTCAGGGGAGGAGGCAAGGAGGCTGGGGAAGGTGGGAGTGTTTATCTTCAGTGGGACTTCCAGTGGAAAGACTGGATCCAAATCCGTCTAGCTGTGTAGGCTTAGGCAAATCACATCACCTACATGGGCCTCACTGTCCTTATCTGTGAATTGGACTCAGACAGGACCTGCCTCTCCCGATGGAAGTAGGGTGAAGGCGTTGATTTGAGGGAAGCCTTCTGAGATGTACAAAGCTCTGCCTTTATTCTGGCCAGGGTTCCTTAGGTCTTCTACCCCTAGTTAAGGCAAAACTTCCTCCCTCCCAAACCAAGGCCACTCTTGCCACACCCTCTACCCAGACCAGACCAGGGCTAACATGGTTCCTGACTCTCAACTCCCATGCAGCCTCCTGAGGGGGCTCAGAAGCCAAGTGCAGAGTGAACGAGGAGAAGGAATGTGACCTGCCAGGGTTTCCCTTCCATATTTGGACCAGAACCATTCTCCATCTCTTGGGAGGGAAGGCAGCTGCACCCAGATTCCAAAAACTCCTCCCAGAGCCTTTCCTAGGGCTTGTCCAGACAGGAAGTCGGCCCAGGGGTTTTCCAATTGCCCAAAGGTGCTATGCACCCCACCACCAGAAGGCGGCGCCCAGGAATCAGCCACTGCCTGTGTCTCCACTCCGTGGCTCCTAACAAAGCTCTTAACTCCTAAGTGCAGAGGCTGAAGCAGGAAGGACCTCGAGGGAGATCATCCACGCCAGCCTCCTTAAAGTTTTGAAAGTCACAGGCTCCTTTGAGAAACCGATGAAAACTACTGACCCTCTCCCTGGAAGAATGCCTCGGCACAGCCGCTCACTATGGTCACACAGATTCAGAACACCCTTGGACCCCCCAGACACACCGCCCAAGGATGCCCTAGGATTTCTTGTAATCCCGCCCAGGAAGCTTGCCCCATCAGCTACCCCCTCAAGGCCTAGAGGCTAAATCAGGCCCAGCACCTCTGCTCCCTGTGGTCAGCCCACGCCTGTGTTTATCCTGGTGATACCAGTCAACGGCTTCAGCAAAGGAGGCTGAAAGAAAGCCAAGGTCATCTTGTTCGAAGACAGGGGTTTATAAAAGTTGGTGGGAGTGGGTACTTCGCGACTTGGAGGATTATGAACTGACTGATTGTCTAGGAGCCTCAAACCTGGAATTAAAAAAAAAAAAATCATGCCGGGGGCAGTGGCTCATGCCTGTAATCCCATCACTTTGGTTAGGCCAAGGCAGGAGGATCACTTAAGGTCAGGAGTTCGAAACCAGCCTGGCCAACCACATCTCTACTAAAAATACAAACATTAGATAGGCATGGTGGCGTGTGCTTGTACTTCCAGCACCTCGGGAGGCTGAGGCAGGAGAATTGCTTGAACCCAGGAGGCAGAGGCTGCAATGAGCCAAGATTGCACCACTGCACTCCAGCCTGGGCGACAGGGTGAGACCCTGTCATTAAAAAAAAAAAAAAAAAAAAAAATCAATAACTAATGCTCTTTTACCCAAAAGGAATCAGGGAGAGAGGGTGGCATTGGAGAGGGAGGGAGCAGGGGGAGGCAGGACTTAGGACGCAGGAGAGACTGCCCCCTTCTCTGCGCCCTGTGGGCTGCTCTGAAGGTCTCGGGGAGCCCATGCACTTTGCACAACAGGTCACAAGGCATTGATTTCTGGGGTAGCGGAATTACCCCTAACAAGACTGTAAACTAACAGTCCAGGAGAAGAAATAAAAGGGCACAAATGAAATGCTGAGAGAATCATGGACTGACAGAAGTGAAGGAGGACCAGTAGAAACAGAGGTCTCAGTCACCTTGCCCACATTCTCCCTGAACCTTCCATGTCAGCCAGCCTGGTCCAGGCCTGGGCTCATCAGCTGTTGTGCCCTGAATGCTGCTGTGGGGCAGGTTCTAGGAGGGTTAGGGGTGTGCTGATGACGATCACGTCCTTGTCCTTCAAGAGCTCCCAACTGAGCTGTCAAGCCAGACACTATGTAAATAACTGCCAGGTGAGCTGCACTGAGGAAAGGAGCTCTTCCAGCTGGGGTGGTCAGTAAAGTCATCACAGAGGGATGGGACTTGAGGAAATGGGGTCCCCAAGGTTGGTAGGTGAGATGACATAAACAATGGCACAGAGGCCAGCAGGCACGAGCTGGAGGCAGCAACACAGAACATGGGCCACTTCCACACCACCCCCGCCCTAGGGTATCTTCCTGCCATCAAACCTCAGTTTCATTGCGATCCACATCTTCCATTCTCCCCACTCCCCCTAGCCACCAATACTTCTCACAAACGTGGAAGCCCTCTATTCTAGAACACCGGAGAAGTGAGCACTCCCACATTACACTCATTCCATAAATGCTTTATGTGCATCTCCCATGTGCCAGGCACTATTCAAGGCCCTGTCTGAGGCTTAAGAGACACAGCAGTGAAAAGGAAAACAATGTCTTGCCCTCATTTGTCCTGGCAAAGAGCTTCTTAGAGTTAGATCTCTGTTCCCAAACCCCTCCCAGGCTCCCACCCTCCTCATTTTATTATCTTGCACTGTATCTCTTGGAAATGGACCCAAAGACCCAAGAGTGGTTCTGCCAATACAGAGGACGATGGGGCTGTCAGCCTGTCTAGGTCTCTAACCGTTTGGTTAATGCTGCTGATAAAGGTAGGAACTAGGTCTTGTTTTAAATATTGATCATAAATACTCCGGTCTCCAAATATGAAGGCACAAAGGCTCATATTTTCACTGTAAGTAACAGAACCCCAACTCAAACTAGCTTCACCACAAGTGAAAATTGTTTATAAGAAACTAAGTGCAGTCACTTTGGGAGGCCAAGGTGGTGGATCACCTGAGGTCGGGAGTTCAAGACCAGCCTGGACAATGGTCTTTAGTAGAGACCAGCCTGGCCCTGTCTCTACTAAAAATACAAAAAATTAGCCAGGCACAGTGGCAGGCGCCTGTAATCCCAGCTACTTGGGAGACTGAGGCAGGATAATCACTTCAACCCAGGAGGTGGAGGTTGCACAGTGAGCTGAGATCCCACCACTGCATCCAGCCTGGGCAAGACAGAGAAAGACTCTATCTCAAAACAAAAAACAAACAAACAAACAAAACAAAAACAATCTAAGTGCAAGGATGAGCTGGGGTTCAGAAACAACTGGAATTGGGGTCCACTCTCCCTGCATCATTCATACTCTACACGGCTCCATTCCTTCAGTCTTTCTCTGTCTTTAGACTGCCTTCTCCAGGACATGTGGGAAAAAATGTGAATAAGGTGGACTTCTCTCTTAGTCCCCACCCTGAAGTCCAGGAAAGAGACAGATGGGTCCAACCTGGGCCAAGGTGCTCACCCCTGGGTCTATCAGTTGTCAGCTGAGATAAGGATGAGACAACAGTTCCTAACACAGCCTGATGGATGGAGTTGAGGAGAAGTAATTCTGTGCAGATGATGTCCAATATGGGCACTTGGCGATCTAGTCCAACGTCTCCATTTTCAGAGGAAATGGAGGTACAAATAGGGATGACGCCTTGTCCAGTGAATTAATGATTAAACTCAAGGAATTCTGGAGTGCTTTGCAGGATCATCCATCAATCAGATTTCCAGTGAATTGAGTGGATGCATGCTCAACTCACACTCATAAATGGCAAACCATCCATGTGGTACACTTACATGGGATGACCTAACATACACGAGGGTGACTTTCCTTTTCCCAAAGCCACAGCCTGATGCTGCCTCAATCTTGCACAGCCAGAGAATGAGGAGTTATTGGTGAAGACATTCTCGGGATAAGCCAAGATTCCCATGAAACATCTAAATGGTTGCCATTTAAACTTCTCCTGACTGAACCTCTTTCTAAATGGGTTGTACACAGCTCTGTCTTCTTTAAGAGCAGGCGCTCAACAGAGCTCAACAGGCTTTTCTCAACATTTCAGGGTCGTTCATGTATTCCTTGGTTGTTCGCTAGATGGCAGGCCCTGTTCTAGCACTAGGAATAACGACAGTGGCCAAGACAGACATGGTCACTGGCTTACAAGTGAGTGAGGAAAATCAATCTAATAAATATACCCATAATTCTTCACAGTTGGGACACAGGCAAGAAGGAATATAACATTATGACATTCTGGAGGTATATAAGAGGGGATCTGAAGAACAGAAAAGGAGACAAGAAAGGTTTATTTGAGGAAGCGATGTTAGGTTAAGACTAGAGGAGGGTAGGAGGAAGTCAGTGGAGAAGAAGGAAAGGAACAGAGCTTCAGGCAGAGGGAACAGCCATTTCACAATGGCTGGGAGGTAGGCGAGAAGAGATGTGGCTGAGGGAAGCCAGTATGGCTGGAACAGGGCCCCATGAACAGTGGCCATTGGTTTGGACTGATTGCAGAGGTCCCCTCAAGGCTACTGCAGGGGTCAGGCACCGATGCGAAGATCTGCCCTGTCAAACCCAAGATAGATGCCAGCTACTCATAGAGTGCTCTGCAGTGTGGGTGCTTAGAGATGGCTCACCTGGGTTGAGTGCCATATTCTGTCAGGTTCCTGCTATTCAGAACTACCACACAACTATAGGATGATAGATGTGGAAAGCTCCCAGAGAAACCTTCCAGAGCAGGAGTTATGATCCTGATTGCACCATAGGATCACTTGGGATGCTTAGAAAAATACCTATACTCAGACCGTACCCCAGATCAATTAAATATGCAGACAAGGGATTATGGTGTGGGTGTTTTGTAAAGCTCCTAGGTGATTCTAATAAGTAGATATGGTTGAGAATCACTATTCTAGTGCAATCCTCTTTTTTTTCACAAATTAAAGAACTGAAGCCCCTCTACACAATTATTAATTTTAGAAATGCACCCATGTCCACATTATACACAATAGAGAGTGAAGAAGGAATAGAAGTCATAGAAATCTCATGTTTAAAATATGGTAGTACTAACGGGAAAGTGGATCCCACTCCCTCTTGCTTCATTCAAAAAAGCAGTGTTAAAAAGTTTGATTTATAAGTTTTATCATATGAAGAAAACAGTATTACGGATAGCCACATGCAAGAGAATAAAGTTGGACCCCCTCCTTTACACCATACACAAAAATTAACTCATAATGGATCAAAGACTTAAATGTAAGCCCATTTTTTTAAATCCCAACTCTTAGAAGAATACATAGGAGTAAATTTTCATGACCTTAAGTTAAGCACAACCTTTTTAGATACCACATCAAAAGCCCAAACAACAAAATAAAAAAATAGATGAAATGCACTGCATTAAAATTACAAAGTTCTGTGTTACAAACAATACCATCAAGAAAGTGAAAATACCCACAGAATAAGCTAAAATATTTGCAAATCATATTATCTGATAAGGAGCTTGTATCCAGAATATGCAAAGCACTCTTTCAACTCCATAATGAAAAGACAAATAAGCTAATTTAAAAATGGGCAAAGAATCTGAATAGCCATTTCTTCAAAAAAGATCTATAAATGGCCAGTGAGCACAGGAAAGGATGCCCAACATCACTAGCTATTAAGGAAATGGAAATCAAAACCACAGTGACATACCACTTCACACCCACTAGGGTGGCTATAATAGAAAAGACAGAGAATGTGGTGAGGTTGTAGGGAAATTGGAACCTTTGTATATGTTGGTGAGAGTGTAGCCACTTTGGAAAACAATGTGTCAGTTCCTCAAAATGTTAAATATAGAGTTACCATATGACCCAGCCATTCCACTCTTAAGCATATACCCAAGTACATATGCTTACATAAAATCCTGTACACCAGCGGTCCCCAACCTTTCTAGCACCAGGGACCAGTTTCATAGAAGACAATTTTTCCGCAGACTGGGGAGGGGGATTTCAAGATGATTCAAGCACATTACATTTATTGTGTACTTTATTTCTACTATTATTACATTGTAATATACAGTGAAATAATTATACAAGTCACCATAATGTAGAATTAGTGGGAGCCCTGAGCCTGTTTTCCTGCAACTAGACAGTCCTATCTGGGGGTGATGGGAGACAATGATAGATCATCAGGCAATAGATTCTTATAAGGAGTGTGTAACCTAGATCCTTCACATGTGCAGTTCACAATAGGGTTTGTGCTCCTATGAGAGTCTAATGCCTCTGCTGATCTAACAGGAGGTGAAGCTCGGGAGGTAATGCAAGCAATGGAGAGCATCTGTCAATACACATGAAACTTCACTCAATACCCACCACTCACCTCCTGCTGGGCAGCCTGGTTCCTAACAGGCCATGGACAGCTATCCCTGCTATAGATGAATGTTGGGGACCCCTGCTGTACATTAATGTTCCTATCAACAGCATTCATAACAGCCAAAAAATAAACTACCCAAATGTTCATAAACTGATAAATGGATAAACAAAATGTAGCATATGTGTGCAATGGAATATCATTCAGCCATAAAAAGGAAGTCTTGATATATACTACAACATAAATGAATCTTGAAAACATTATGCTAAGTGAAAGAAGCCTAAAGACCACATATAGAATGATTTCATTTATATGAAATGTCCAGAAAAGGCAAATCTATAGAGACAGAAAGTAGATTAGCAGTTGCCTAGGGCTGGGAGGGTGGAGGGAGTTGGGGAGTGGTCACTACACTAGTGCCCACGCTAATGGATACAGGGTTTCTTTTTAGGATGATGAAAATGTTCTAAAATTAATTGTGCTGAAAATTGTACAACTCTTGTGAACACACTAAAAACCATGGAATTGTACAATCTAAATGAGTGAATTGTATGGTATGTGAATTGTATCCCAATAAAGATGTTTTTAAAAAACAGTATTAGCCAGACGTAGCGGCGCACACCTATAATCGCAGAGCTTTGGGAGGCCAAGACAGGAGGATCACTTGAGGCCAGGGTTTTGAGATCAGCCTGGGCAACACAATAAGAGCTCATCTCTACAAAAAAAAAAATGTTTTAAATCAGCTGGGTGTGGTGGTGTGCTCCTGTAGTCCTAGCTACTCAGGAGGCTGAGGCAGGGGGATTACTTGAGCCCAAGAGGTCAAGACTGCAGTGAGCTATGATTGTGCCACTGCACTCCAGCCCGGGTAACACAGCAAGATGCTGTCTCTAACAAAACAAAACAAAAACAGTGTTATCTCTTACTTCCTTATTCGGATGGAATTGGGCCATTGGTCTCTTGTGTTTTACGGTTTCCGTTCTTTTCCTTCTTTTCACGTTTCAATCCCACTCGTCTATCTGGATTTATATTTCTTCTCTGCTCTGCCTCCCTCTCCTCCCTCTCTCTCTCTTCTTTCTCCCTCTCTCCCTCCCTCCTCAAGAAAAGAATTGCAGGATATTCTCAGAAGCATTGTCTTTGCAGATTTGCTCAAGCAGAGAACTGATACGTCACCAAGCAAGTGGCTTTCCAGTGAGTCAGTGAGCAACAATTGAGCTTCAGGGCTTCCTCCTGGTCAAAACTGAGTTAGGCCAGGTGCAGTGGCCAAGGTGGGAGGAACACTTGAGCCCAAGAGTTCAAGGCCAGCCTGGGCAACATAGCAAGACCCCCTCTCTACAAAAAATCAAAAAATTAGCCAGGCATGGTGGCACATGCCTGTGGTCCCGGCTATTTGGGAGGATCACTTGAGCCCAGGAGGGCTTGCATCACTGCACTCCCAACCTGAGTGACGAGCAAGACCCTGTCTCAAAAAATAAAATAAAAAATTAAAACTATGAGTTACCCAAGTATATTGTGCACAACACTTAGATTTTGTCTTCAAAGAAAATAAAAGGGGGAAAGTCTTATTCCTAAGGCATTTAGAGCCTATGGCCATATTGATTCCCTGGGAAGTGGAATGGTTTAGGAAGAAGACTTTTCTGAAATATTGTCTTACCTAAGTACCCTATCCCCTAAAGAGGGTCAACTAAAGTTAAGGCAAAAAATAACAAGAAGAAGACACCTGATGGAAGCAGAGGGACTGCATTTCCCAAGAGCGGCAGATGCCATTTTCCAAAAACCACCGCAGCAACGTTTCTGATCCCACATGGATTTCCTGATTATCGGACAACCCTCTTACGAAAGGTGGAGTCTAATTCCCTTCCCCTTGAGTATCCTGCTCAGCCTCCTCGGGGATTTCTTCTAAGGAATAAAATCTAGTGGACCTGATGCCATGGTTTCTGATGTGAGGTTAGAAAAAGTGATACAGCTTCTATCTGGTTTTCTCTCTCTCTCTCTCTCTCTCTCTCCCTCCCTCCTCTTGGGACCCAGCCTCCTTGCTATGAGGAAGCCCAGGCCTCATGGAGAGGCCATGCACGTGTGTTCCAACAAGTTCCCCAGCTAAAGTCTCATGCCACGGCTGACATTAATTCCAGGCATGTGACTGAGAGAGTGCAAGAGCCTTCATGTGACTTCAGTCCCCAGCCTCTATGCCCACCCCAGCTGACAAGTGGAACAGAGCCGCGTTATCCCTGCCAGGCCCTTCCCCAACTGTGGATTCCTGATGAGTTAGTTACATATTGCTGCATAACAAGTTACCCCATAACCAACTGGCTCGAGACATTTTTCTCACAGCCTCTTTGCTAACCTAGTGTTTCAGGACTGTGGGCACGGCTCAGCTGGGTCCTCTGTGTCAGCGTCCTTCACAGGTGGTAATCAAGATGTCAGCTGGAGCTTTCATTGCCTCAAGGTGGGAAGGCAATGCTTCCAAGCTCACTCAGGTGGTTGCTGGCAGGGTTCATTTCCTTGAGGCCTGCGGAATTATGGCTTGCAGCTCTTTGTCACATGGGTCTCCCCAACGCAATGGCTTACTTCACACAAGCCAAGAAGGCAGTAGAGTGAAAATGGTAGCAACACTAAAGTTTCAGTCTTTTATAACCTAATCACGGAAGCAACATCCCATCTCTGTTGCCATGTTCTATTCATTGGAATCAAGTCACGACATCTATCTCATGCTCCAGAGGAAGGGATTATCCAAGGGTGAGAATCCCAGGAGCCATATCAGAAACTGCCTCTGCACTGAGAAAAATGAATGTTTTGCTTATTTTAATCCACTAAGTTTTGGGATGGTTTGTTATGCAGTGTAAGATAATGGGAAAACACCAAAACACAGAGAGGAAGAGTTGGGTAAGAAAACTGTACTTGTTGAATATTTACTTTATTCCAGGATCATTTCACAGATGGCAGAACTAAGGCTTAGAGAGGTGACTTGCCAAAGCTATTAGTGGTAGAATGAGGATGAAAACCAATCCTGTTAGATTTCATAGTCCATGACCTTCTCACATTTCCACTCTACTTCTGTCCTTTGCAGAAAAACAAAATCCCAAACCATTTCAATATTAAATGGTGTTTTACCAATGACCTTTTTTTAATCCTCAAATTTAACCGGCAGAGACTATTTCTGGGTACGCTCCCCACCCACACCTCTTCAACTCCTAGTTACAAAGGACTTTCACCTTCATGCAAATTCTGTATTTTATGAAGCTGGCAAGACCAGTCCACCATGCTTAGCTACATTTTTTTCCATAAAAACAAGCTTTCTGGAATACTATCGCTTGCCATAGTGAGGACATAGATTCCAGGAAGTCGGTTTCAAATGCTAAAAAAAGAACATGAGGCAGACATCTGCTTGAGTAGAAAATGTAAAACCCAACTGCTCCTGCTGCTAGTGTCTCTAGGCCCCCCAGCCCCACCCCTGCAAGAGGTAGTTCAGGCTAAACACATTAAAAACTTATTTCAAATTGATTCAAGGATACAGGATAGGAGGGAGGCAGATTTTTTACTGCAAATCTTTTTGTACAGAATTTCAAAACATATTATGTGCATGCTAATTATCTTTAAAATTCTGCTTAGAGCCAGGTGCATTGGCTCATGCCTGTAATCCCAACGCTTTGGGAGGCTAAGGCAAGGCAGATCACCTGAGGTCAGGAGTTCGAGACTAGCCTGGCTAAAATGGTGAAACCCCATTTCTACTAAAAATACAAAAAAAAAAACAATTAGTCAGGCATGGTGGCAGGTGCCTGTAATCCCAGCTATTCGGGAGGCTGAGGCAGGAGAATCACTTGAACCTGGGAGGCAGAGGTTGCAGTGAGCTGAGATCACGCCACTGCCCTCCAGCCTGGGCATCAAGAGCAAAATTCCATCTCAAAAAAAAAAAGTTCTGCTTAGAGACTAATCTTGGTTGACAGATTTCTATCAAGAGAAACTCAGGCATTTTTCAAGATAGATTCAATAGTCCTAGTATCTTCTCTGGTGCTGATTCTGTGCTGCTCTGCATCTGTGCTGCTCTAAGCATCCAAGATGAGCTTAGCCTAGGCACTCAGCAGGGACAGAAAGGGCAGAGAGATGGCCTTTTCAGGGGCACCCTGCCTGCTTGCTGGGGAGACAAGTAAGGTTATTCCAAAAGCAACGGATAACTCAAAGCCAAACCTTAGATGCTCATGGGCTGAGTGATATTCTAAAAGATGGACCAGAACAGAAGATGACCACACTCTTCTACAGTCTATAGTGGTAGTGATGATAATAATAATGTGAATTACTATTTATTAATTAGGGTGCTTAGTCCATTAATATTTAATTTAATTGTTGATAGGATTGGAGCTAAGTCTATCATTTCATTACCTATCTTCTGTTTATGCCTTCTCAGTTTTTGTTCCCCTGTTCCTCCTTTCCTTCCATCTTTGGACTATTGCAGTATATTCTAGAATTACGTTTTAATATAGCTATTGGCTTCTTAGCTAGAACTATTTGCATTATTTTTTAGAGGTTACACTAGGGATTACAGTGTGCATCCTTAATATCTCACAGAGTTGATATTGTGTCCCTTCCCATAAAATTTGGATGCTTTACAACTGTACAGTTACATTTATCCCTCACCCACCCCACCCCACTCACAGCACTCCCTATGCTGTAACTGCCATTTATATTACATCCACATATACTGTAGCCTGCAAGAAACACTATGCTTTCTTTTTAAAATAGTCTTATGTATGTATATATGTACGTATGTATTTGTGACAGGGTCTCATTCTGTCACCCAGGCTGGAATGCAGTGGCATGATCAAAGCTCACTGCAGCCTCAACCTCCCAGGCTCAGGTGATCCTCCCACCTCGGCCTCCTGAGTTGCTGGGTCCACAGGCATGTGCCACCACAACTGGTTAATATTTGTATTTTTTGTAGAGATGAGGTTTCACCATGTTGCCCAGGCTGGTCTCAAACTCCTGGGCTCAAGCAATCCACCTGCCTCAGCCTCCCAAAGTGCTGGGATTACAGGTGTGAGCCACTGTGCCTAGCCAAAATAGTCATATGTATTTTAAGGAAATTGAAATTAAAAAATAATCTTATGGCCAGGTACAGTGGCTCACGCCTGTAATCCCAGCACTTTGGGAGGCTGAGACAGGCAGATCACTTGAGGTCAGCAGTTTGAGAGCAGCCTGACCAACATGGCAAAACCCCGCCTCTACTAAAAATACAACAATTTGCCAGGTGTGGTGGCACACACCTGTAGTCCAAGCTACTCAGGAAGCTGAAGCAGGAGGACCACTTAAGCCTGGGAAGTGGAGGTTGTAGTGAGCCAAGAGTGTCCCACTGCACTCCAGCCTGGGCACAGAAGAGAAACCCTGTCTCAAATAAAAATAATAATAATAATAATAATCGTATATATTTACCCAGATATTTACCATTACTGATGTTCCTTATTCTTTCCTAGAGGTCCAAGTTTCTCTCTTATATAATTTCTTTTCAGCTTAAAGAATGTCCTTTGCTTTTCTTCCAGTGCAGGTCTGTTGGAAATGTAAAAAGTAAATAAATAAATGTCTATTTGTTTTCTTTTTTTTTTTTTTTGAAGAATATGTTTGCTGGGTACAGAATTTTGGGTTGACAGGTTTTTTTCTCTTCTTCTTTCAGAACTTTAAAGATGGTGTTCCACTATTTTCTGGCCTCCATGTTTTCTCATGAGAAATCTGTGGATGTTAAAATTATTGTTCCCCAGAATGTCATGTGTTGTTTTCTCTGGATGCTTCCAAATTTTCTCTTTATCTTTGATTTTCAATGGTTTCACTCTAATGTACCTAGATGTGGTTTTCTTAGCATTTATCCTACTTGAGGTTTACCACATTTTTTGAATCTATACATTTATACCTTTCACCAGATTTGGAAAATTTTCATCCACTATTTCTTCAAATATTTTTTCTACCCCATTCTTTCTCTCCTCCCCATCTGAGACTCTAAGTACACATACATATGTTCCACAGCTCCTGGAAGCTTTGTTCATTTTTTTAACATTTTTTTCTCTTTCTTCTTCAGATTAGATAATTTTCATTGATGTACCTTCCCTGATTCTTTTTGGGGGGTGGGGGGTGGGGGACATCTCCATTCTGCTATTAGGTCCACACTGCTATGAACTCTACAAATTTTTTAGTTCAAATATGCTACTTTTCAGCTCTAGAAAATTCATATGGCTCTTGTTTATATTTCTCTGTTGAGTTTTCCTATCTTTTCAATCACATGAATACATTTTCCATTACCTCATTGAGCATGCATATAATAGTGGCTTCAAAGTTCTTATGTGATCATTCTAGCAGGGTGTCTTACAATTGACCTCCATTGATTGTCTTTTCACTTAGGAAAAGTCATATTTTTCTGGTTCTTTGAATGTCAGGTTATTTTGGACTGCACCATAGACTGTGAATTTTATATCATGGAGATTCTAAACTCTATTATATTCTTCCAAAGAATGCTAATGTTATTGTTTTAGAAGACAATTAACTTGATAGACTCAAAGTTCAGTTGAATTGCCTTAAGTAGATAGCAATTCAAATCTCAGTTCAGTTCTGTTAGCCTTACCTGCAAGCACATGTACGGTACAAGGGTTAACCAATGTCCCTCAGTTTGGATATCTGAGTGCATGCACAGAACTTAAGAGTTGCTCTTTCTGGCTCTCCTCTTTTTGGGATTATCCTTACATGTTCCAGTGGCTGTGGCCACCCCAGGCTCTGTCCTCGAACATTTCAGGCCAGAAAGGTGATAGATTTTCTATCAGGGTTTTAGTCACTCCATACAATGCCATAGCAAGCAGTTTTCAGCCTGAAGCCATTAGAATAGAAAATTCACCATGTGCCAGTCCTTTTTTCCAAGTCTCAACTCCCTTCCAAATTCTCCCTGATTTTTCTCACTCTGCAGAGGCTTCAAGCCATTGCTTTTTTGTATTTTTTCCAGAATTTATTATTATTTGTAGGATTACAAGTTTATCAGGAGCTCATTCCACCAGATCAGAAATGGAACCAGCTACTATTTATTAAACCTCCTCCATGTACCCATTTATGCCTCTCTCTTCAAGTTTTTTTTTTTCACTTTTAAATGTTTTCTTTTATAAAAGTAATGTATATTCAGATAAGAAAAAATCATATAGCACAGAGTAGAACAGAGAATAAAAATTAGTCTTTCAGTCCTCCTCAGACACCTCCCCCAACTCCAGCTCCACTCCTCATCAGTAAGTATATGTATATTGCATTCTTCTACACCAAATAAATCATACTATAATAAATGTGTTTTTTATTTTTTGTTAATTTCCAAAGCATTACAAATAAAATGATTTTATTTATTTTCATTGGCTATATAGCATTTTATTGCATGCATGTGTCATAATATTTATGTGCCACAATGTATTTAATGTGATCCCTTCTAACTGACATTTTAGTATTTCTCCATTTTTCACTGTTACGAATCATGCTGCCGCAAACATTCTTGCACATATATTTTTACACATTTGAAAGAGTATATAAAATCCTAAAAATGACATTGCCTGCACATAGAATAAGTATATTTTAAATTTAGGTTTCAACTTCTAAAATAATGCTTTTGACCTAACGCATTCTGACTTTCAAAAGCAGTGTTTTGCCTAAATGCTGTAAGGTAAAAGACAAAGAGAACTACACAAACATTGTGTCTTCATTAGTAAATTTGTTTCCTATAGGGATACTGTTAGATTTTGAAACTATTTTATATATACACTAGGGTTGAACAAATAAGTAAATATATTACAGAAATGAAAATCAAGTTTCTCACTATTGGACAAAGAAGTTACAAATAAGCAAAGGCAGAAAACTGTAATGAAATCTGTTGCATTGAATTAGTGTTAGAGACATCAGCACAAACTCATTTATGATCATCACAATAGAGATTAGATAGATAGATAGATAGATAGATAGATAGATAGATAGATAGATAGATAGATTCATATTTCTATCCCTGTCTACTGAAAGGACTTAGAAACAGTGACATCCCAATAGCAATGTGCACATCTAATACCAAGATTTTGGTTTCTAAATACCATTTCCCAGTAAAAGGAATCAGGGCTTCTTGGAGAAATGGTTGATCCAGAGTGGGAGTAAGAAAAATACAAGATGAACTAAGAGTATCCTGTGGTACCAGAAAGAAAGAAAGTGTTCAAAAAAAAAATGGGGTCATGTCAAAGGACACAAGCCACTCTGAAAAGGCTCCCAATACGATGTTATTGAATTAAATCCTAAAGAACAAAATAAATAAACGATTGGATAAGCAAATAAACTCCAACTAATAGCTGGGCATGGTGGCATATGACTGTAGTCCCAGCTACTCAGGAAGCTGAGGTGGGAGGATCACTTGAACCCAGGAGGTTGAAGCTGCAGTAAGCTGTGATCATGTCACTACACTCCAGCCTGGGTGACAGAACGAGACCCTGCCTGTAAAAAAAATAATAATAATTCCAACTAATAAATGTAGAACAAATGACAGAAATAGAAGATCACCATTAGAACATCTCAATTACAATTACTGTAAGCAGAGGCAGGCTCCATCTCTGAATGAATGCTAACATTAACAGGTAGAAGTTTAAGAAAAAACATGACGTATGTTCAAAATATCTTCCTCAAAATACTTATTAGTTACTGTAGTGAGAAATGTTAACAAATTCTTTGATACCCCTCCCTTTGAGGTGGACCTTAATTTCCCTCTCCTTGAGTGTGGGCTGGGACATAGTGAATCTCTTCTAACAGAGTGTAAGAAGAGGAAAATATTAACTTTGTCATGGATAAAGCTGACAGACACCACCTAAATCGAGTGATCAAAGTTAACATCACCATAATAAGACCTAGTGATACCACACACGCCCTGATACTATGCACTGAGAAGGACACATCACCTCTGTGGTCTTCCTCCCAAAATTCTATAACCTCACTCTAACCATCAGAAAGCATCAGACAAATCCAAATTGAGGGACGTTCTACAAAATATCAGAAAAGGACTTCTAAAAGGACACCTTCCTTCTAAAGATTAGAATTCAAGGTCACCTGATTTGGAGAATTTCCATCTCCAATTTGCTGGCAGTTGCCAAGACCATCCTCGGTGATTTTTGTTTGTAGCTCCATGTTGAGAATGGCTTTTGTATATTTCTCCGGGTTGAATGTGGTGTACCTTCCCTTTACAATATGAAACTCTTCAAGCATCAAATCAGAGTTATTCTACTCCAAAAAGCTTAATATAAAGCTCTCAACATCGACATGTTGGTGTGTTCAAGTCACACAAACCAAGAACAATAACAGCTGCCATTTATTGCACATTTAATACACACCAGACACTCCGTTCAGTACTTTACGAGCAATTAGTCACTTAGTCCTCCCAAACACATCATCAGCTCCATTTTACAGATGAGATGTTGAGCACAGAGAGGTACAGTAATTTGCCCAAGGTTACACAGCTAGCAATTGGAGGAGCAAGAAATTGAACCCAGGGAGTCTAGCTTCAGAGCCCACACTCTTAATTACTATGCTTGGTCTGGGGGAGCCCCATTACAAGAATATTTTGAATTATCAAAAATGAAAGCCATAAAATATTAGAGGAAGAATATTTAGACAATTTTTTCTGAAGCAGCACAACCTAGAGCCTTGCTTCCCAAACACTGTCATCCTCCAGCCACCTCTTTGATTTCGGCCATGGCTGACATAACCTGCACTCTTAGTCACTTAATATCTTTTGAATCGACTCAATTGTTTTTGCTTAAGTAAATTATTTAAAAAGGAAAATGACCTCATGTCACTATTGTAAATGGAAAAGTAATATCATTTACTTTAAGTAAATGGTAACCTAAAAATAAATACCATAGAAACAAAACAAAACAATGTCAATAAATTACACTTAGATCTACTGCCTACCAAAGGCTAAGAGCCTGAATAAGTTCTGTTCTCTTTTTACCAAGACAGGGGAGTTTTAACAAGTTGTAGAGAGTGTTCGTGATAAACCAGCATCAAAAGGTAATCAGAAGAACTACAAGAAAACTGGAAAAAGGAATAAGGTGTTCTCTGGAGCTTAGGATTAAGGGACAGAAACCTCAAAGAAACACTGGCGTAAATAAAATAGAAACTTACTTCTATCTCACACCCAAGATGAAAAGTAGGTGGACCAGGGCTGCTGAGACACCCCATAGTGTCATGACGAGGTGGCTTTTATCTTGGAGTTCCATCGTGTGTGGTTCACAAGGTCATTTCAAGGCCCAAGATTGCTCCTCCAGCACCAGCCATCTCATCTGCTTTTCAGAGAGCAGCAAAAAGAAAAGGAGAAGAAAAAGGAACATCCCTTCTTTCTAAGAACACTTCCTCACTTTTGCTTACATCCCCACAGGCTAGAACTTAGTCACAGCCAGGGAGACTAGGAAATGTAACCTTTATGTTGGGCAGCCAAGTGCCTCACTTAAAAAAAAATAGCAAGCAAAATTATACTACTAGAGAAGAAGGGGGAGGTGGATGAACAATAGCAATCTCTGTGGCTTCATGATTCTCCACTGCGCTTGTGTGCCTACAGGAGTCACCTTAGGGGGTCCATGTAAGTCAAGACAAGCCCAGACTTTCAACAGACACCTCTGCCTGCCTCTGAAGTCAGCCTTGAGCCCATGTCTCCTTTGCACAGTGTTTCTTCCAAGCTTGGGAAAACACTTCTCTCTCCCACCACGGTTGCTATTACAGGTTTTGTTATTAGGCCCCTTAAGGGCTCTCCTGCCTTCTGAGTCCAGAGGCCTCCTTGAGCCAGATGGGCTGTGGCATGGCTCTGCATTGCTGAGGAGAGAAGAGCACTGTGCAGGGAATCAGTGAGACTCAGCTTGGCTTTCCGGCTTTGCCCCTCACCAGATGTGCTGACCATCGTCAACCCAAGCTCTGAGCCTCTTGTTCATTGAGCCTGACGCTGCAGCACCAGACACGCAGGTCCTGGCCACAAGCTGGAAGAATCCATAGCCCCAGATCCAGTTCTAGCTGGAATAACTCTGTTCCAATGCTCAAGGAGCTTCACATCTTAAAGGAAGGTATGCCACATTCAATACAAAGACATATACAAAAACCACGCTCAGCACAGAGGTACAGACAAAAATTGCCAAGGATGGTGTTGGCAACTGCCTGCAAATTGGAGATGGAAACTATCCTATATCAGGTGACCTTGAATTCTAATCTGAAGAGGCAGGATGTAACATGACCAGGGGAGGGAGGGAGTTATGGGGCACAGCCATCGACCAGCCATCCAGGTGGGGTTGCCATCCACCTGGATCACCGAGAGGAGGGGTGCCACCCCAGTGTGGGACTATTATCATAGGTGTAGAGCAGGAGGTAACCTGGGGCCCAAAACTCAGTGGTTCCATCTTTTCAAAACCAGAGACAACTTTTAGTATGCGCCATCTCAGGAGACTTGTTTTAAGAGCTGCTTGCCAACTAAATTGTACAAATTAAGAATTCATGCATGTGTCCTGTATTTTTCATCTAAAAACATGTATCTCCTGGCCACAGGCTCTCATGAGCAAAGCAGGTACACTGACAGATGCTCAACCTTGACTGTCCTGCTCAGGCTCATGCTGCAGAAAAACCCGGCACTTAGGTGGGGTTTTTAAAACAGCAAAAATAGCTGGTGAGCCAGCCCCACTCTTGGTGTCTCTTACCATCTTTGTTGGTCTCCAGCCTCCTCCCAATTTGAAAAGCACTCATCTTCCCAACTCCCCAATCTCCCCTTTACTGGTAAGAAAACTGGGACTCAGAAGGGGAAGTGGCTTGACCAAGGCCACACAGCTGTGGGTGGAGAGATGGAGGCAAGACTGTGTCACGAGTCTCCTGATGGGTAGCCTCTGTCCTGCCTCCTCCTACACACTCCCCACTGCTCAACTCCAGCCCTCCAACCCACAGTGTGGGAGCCAGCTTGGCACCATTGTGGGGAGGAAAAGAATAACTCCCAAAGAAAGATGCTTAGAATCATCCACACCCATGGATATAAGGCAGAAAGGATGCCAGGATCAGAAGGCCAAGGCCATGCCAAAATGTCATAGGTCCCATAAATTAGGCAGCCAGACATGCCAGACTAGCTGTATAATGAGCTGCCACACTGATGGTGTGTCTGAAGGCTGTGGTCTTTACGATGGGGCCCATCACTTGAATCTGGCATGTTGTGTGATCTCCTACAGGTGATAAGTAAAGTATTGCTTTCCCCAAACACCATCTCAATCAAGCTCAGGAACAGCCCACCCAGAAGCCGTCGTGACATATCACACTTCATAGAAGCATAAACTGCAATACGTTTTTATTCCCAGTCCCTATTGAAATCACTGACCCCCTCGTATAAGTGTCCAAGGAGACACCGTCAGAGAAACCAGGTGTTGGCTAGATTTCCTCAGTAGCTGAGTGACCTTGAGCACACCACTGCTCGCGGGGGTCCTCAGGTCCTCAGGTGAAAGGTGGTCACATAGTCCCTGTATTGGCTTGCTAAGAGCTGCCGTAACAAAATACCACAAACTGGGGGCTTAGGCAATAGAAATGTATTTTCTCATGGTTCTGGAGGCTGGAAGTCTTAAGATCAAGGTGTTGGCAGAGTTGGTTCCTTCTGAGGGTGGTGAGGCAGAATCTGTTCCAGGCCTCCTTCCCAGCCTCTGGAGGTTTGCTGGTCATCTTTGGAGTTCCTTGGCTGATAGAGGCATCACCCCAATCTCTGCCTTCATATTCACATGGCCTTTCTCTCTGTCTGTCTGTCTGTCTCTCTCTCTCTCTCTCTCTCTCTCTGTGTGTGTGTGTGTGTTTATGGGTCCACATTCTTCCTTTTTTATAAGAACACCAGTCATATTGGCTTAGGGCTCACCTTAGTGACCTCATCTTAACCTAATTCCATCTGCAATGACCCCATTTCCAAGTAAGATCCCATTCTGAGGTACTGAAGGTAAGGATTTCAACACATGAATTTTGGGAGGACACAATTTAACCCACAGCAATTCCCTGTATTCATCCCAGCACGGCCTGCATCTCGAGTGTCACAGAAGGCCATGCATATGAACGCTCTTAGGGGAAGATAAGAGGACAGGATGGAAGGGCAGGTGTGAGCTCCCCAGGATCTGGACCACTGAGATGTGGCTGTAACACCCCCAAGAGGCAAGAGCATGGAGGTGTGAGGGGCTCACGACTCTCCTGGAGAGCTCTGCGGAGATCCCATGCAGCAGGATTATCTAGGTTTCCTTGAAATGCTTGATGTAAGAAGATAAACCCCGGAAAGAGTTTTCACAGAGGCAGGGCCTCTGAGCTGCTCTGCAACAGCTGGAGGGGCTTGGGTTTCTTTCCTGTCCTATCTAAGTGTTTGCTGCAATCAACAGCAGATTTGCTTTCAATGACACTTGCTTGGTTATCTGGGTAGGGAAACCAGTCCAAGTAAATTGTTTTAGCATCAATCCTGTCCATTTCAACTCCCATGTGGTTTGGGATAGGTGGACAGCAGGCTGCCATTTCCTGCTGCCCAGTATCAATATAACCTGGTCACTCTGTGCCAAGTAACCCAGCTCTGGATAGGATGAGGATCTCAAGCCCCCTGAGCTGCCCCTGCTCACCTTCCTGGACTCATGGGCCACCTTTCCCCTTCCCATGCACCCTCCATTCTATGGCAGAGAGAGTCGGAGTAACTTGCCCAAGGTCATGCAGTCAAGTGGCAGAGCCAGCATCTGGACCCAGCCAATCTGGCTCCTAAACACCATGTTTTCTTGCATCAGGCTGAAGCTGGGCCACTACCCAGACAAAAAGGATCAGCTGTATGATGTGATGTGAAGGGCAGGACTCCGGGAGAGAGGCTCAGCCTGGAGGAAGGGCAGAATTTTTCACTGTTGTGCTTCAGAGTTTTCCAACTCAGTGCCTTGAAGAAGGGGCACCAGTGCTGAGTAGAAAAGACGCCACCCGGGACAGGAGAGCCATTTGGAATGGGAGAAATCCTTCATGCTCCCCAATGTTGAGGAGGCCCAAGTAGCATTTTTCATGAATGGATTGGCTTTATTAGAAAACATATCAAACATATAGATAAACATCAAAGATAAACATCTACCCACAACCCGGCTTTATCAAATTGAACACTAAGCCACATTTGCTTCAGATTTTCACTTTTAAGAAATGGAACAACAGATCGAGTTGATCCCTGCATATCGTTCCTGCCATCATTCCCCTTCTCCCCAGGAAAATAAAGAAGAACCTCTTAAGAATTTGGTGTTTATCATTCCTGTGCAGATTTTTATAGTTTTAATACATATTTATGTATCCACACACATTTTATAGTACTAATTTGCATGTCTTAAAACATTATACAAATAGTCTCATACTAGACATTCCTTCTGCAACTTGTCTTTTCCACTCAACATGATGTCTTTGAGATGTATCTATGTTGATGCCTGTGACTGTAGTTCATTCATTTTAACTGCTATATGGATAGAGCACAACTTTTACATTTATTTTCTGGTTGTTTCCAATTTTTTATGTTACAAATGATCCTGCAAGAATATTTTTGCACCAACCAGGCTCCTCATACTCCTCTGCAACACAGACCTAGAACTGTGATGCCCAGGTCATGGGGCAGGAACATCTTCAACTCTCTGGCTATTGCCAAACTTCTCTCAAAAGTGGTTCTTCCAATGACACTCCCAGCTGGGTACATTTGATCTCAGCACATCCTTGATTACACTTGGTATTATCAGGCTTTTAAAAAATGTTTACTGGCCGGCGCGGTGGCTCATTCCTGTAATCCTAGCACTTTGGGAGGCTGAGGCGGGAGGATCACCTGAGGTCAGGAGTTCGAGACCAGACTGGCCAACATGGTGAAACCCTGTCTCTACTAAAAACACAAAAATTAGCCAGGGTTGGTGGTACGCACCTGTAATCCCAGCTACTCGGGAGGCTAAGGCAGGAGAATCACTGGAACCTGGGAGGTGGAGGTTGCAGTGAGCTGAGATCACACCACTGCACTCCAGCCTGGGCAACAGAATGAGACTCTGTCTTAAAAAATAAAATTTTTTTTACCATGCTAATGGGTATGAAACGGTATGTTTCTGGGATTTTAATTTGCACTTTGCCTAATTAGCAGTAAGGTTGAGCACCTTTCCATGGCTTCATTTGAATGGCTTATGTCTTAGGTATCTCCCTGCATGAGATCCAAGGGGAAGTGCAAAATAGCCAGAAGTCGAATCTTTGTCCCAGCCCTCCATAGTTCCTGAAACTCTCCTAAGCCCTGGGTAAGAAATTCAGTGGCCTGAATAGCCTGGGGGAGTTGATCTTGTGGAGGATGAAGAGAGTAACAAGGGAGAAGGGGCCAGTTCCACCCCACCCATCCACCCACCGACTGGAGTCCCACACAGCACTAAGGAAGCAGGTTCAGTGTCAGAAATCCACCCAGAGTGGGTTGGGGAACAAAGCGAGGTGAAGGAGAGCAGAAGGATGTGTAGGTGCCTTTTCTGACAAGCCTGACTGGGCAGGAGAGTAGAAGGACAAGGAGTTGAGGGAGGTTTTCTTTCGCCATGGGGGAGACAGAGCGTCTTGATCGAGGAGCGAGGGGGGAGTCAAGACACGGGAGAGGGGGCAGCTGACCACGGGAGCAAGGCTTGGGGTGTCACAGCAGGAAGGGAGAAGGAAAGGCAGTGAGAGGAGGCCAGCTGGGAGGCTGTTCTCAGAGCACGGCGCTTGGTCCTCAGGTGCCCGTGAGGGGAAGGCACACAGGAGAGTTGAGAAAAATGAGGAAGGCTTGAAATAGTCATGGAGAGTGAGGTGGGAATGGGGAAAGAGTTGTTCAAGAAACCCAATAAGACTGCCAGGCCCCGTCCTCAGGCACCGGTTTCTGAATGCCTTTTTAAATCCCTTTTCCAAACCCTGAAATCATGACTGTTCATTGATGGGGCAGGGAGGTCCCCCAGTGAGGATGCCCTGAAGTAAAGGATCATTGGAATCAGCTGGAAATCCCAGTGACAGTGAAGAGGGAAGACTCATCTCCCTCAGACCAGAAGCCACCTCTGAGCAAGGGACAGTGGGGACAGTGCCCCTGGAGCGAGGGGGGTGTTTCTGAGCGTGGCAAAGGCTCTGTGAAAACACCGTAATTCCAGGGTGGAGAAGTCAGAGAATAACGTAGCCAATGGTGATGGGCTTGGCTTGCTCCTTCAGTGATTTATTTTCTGTTTATTTTATAAATAAACATTTTATCATAGTCTATTTTTCCACAGACTATGTATTTATATAATAATATGGCAGAATGAAAAAAGAGAAGTGACATTTTTATTAACTATTAGCACAAATCTCTGCTTTTTCATGATTGCTTAAGAAAATTAATCTTGGCCTCAATATTTTTCATTACCTCCCCTTTAAAGGCTCATGTATCCCCTAATGGCTGTCTCTTCTCGAGGCTGGGATTGCCCAGAGACACACAGGATTACAATGTTAAAAATAAAAATAGCTGCAGCCTTGTATCTGCACAGTGCCCTGCACTTTCTAAGCCATGTCTCCGGCCTCAGCTAATGTGAGCTTCACAACAGGCTCCTGCTCCATGAGGTTGGCAAGACAGAGTGGTATTTTTAAATTTTTTTCTTTTTAACCCTCCTTTAACAGGTGAAGAAGCTAGGGGCTGGGGAGAAGTGATTTGCAAAGACTACCCAGCTAGGGAAAGGCAGTTTCAGCTGGAATTCATCATCGCTGGCTCCTAGGTCAGGGCTCAGAGAGTCAAGGTTAGGATCTGAGGGCAGGAAGCTGGGGCACTCGGGGTTGGGCGGTGCAGGCAGGACCCCAGGGAGCGAGCTTGCTCCAGGACACACCAGCGGCTCCTTGGACGCTCTCCTGGCACCAGGTGTTGCTAAGCGGCCATGGCTGGGTAGGAGCAGAAAGCCTCCCCCACCTCCAGAGACAGTGGCCCCTCTCAGAACGGAAAGCTGCGAAAAGCACCGTGGCTGCCAGGAGAACCAGGGGCCCGCCAAACTCAGGTCATCACTTAGACGTGCTCCAGGCAAAGAGCCAAAGAAAAGAACAGTGGGACCCCCCACTCCCCAGAAGCCAGTCCCCTACCCCTAGACCCGTTCTAGTGACTCACTCCTCCCCAGGGAGTGGTCTTTGGAGGAAATGGCCACGGAGTGCCCCGGAGGAGCTTTGCAGGGACAAACCTCAGGAAGGTCCCTGGTCTCCAGGAAGGAAAAACAGAGCAAGGATTAAAATCACAACGGTTGGCAACAGCAACAATCTCCAGGGCACGTGGGTGTCTGGTGAGGGATGTGCAGGAAGTACGATGAGGGGGAAGATGGTGTTTGCTTGGCTGGGATGCAGGAGCCCGTTTTTCCTCTGGCCTGTGGCAGGGACAAGGCCCAGGGGCCTGCCTGCAACCCAAGAACAAGATCATGCAACCAACTGGCCGGGAGTGATGAACTCATCACATCCCTAGGTGTGAGTACCCACGGATAAGATAATTCAGATTTTGCTTGCCCCAGGCTAAAATTTTTAAGGACTTATATTTTAGACTTCTCATTCAAAGAAAAGATTGAGACCTGGTTCTCTTCTCTATTAAACCCCATCTTTGCAGAAAGTCACACATAAGGGAATGACACAAATGGAAAAAAATACAGACATTCACTCATATAGTCTCATTGCCAGGGCCCACCAAACCTCATCCCAAACCCTCAAAGGTTTTATCCAAACCACATTTTGGGCCCACGTGTGATGGTTCATGCCTGTAATCCCTGCATTCTGGGATGCTGAGGCAGGAGGATCACTGGAGGCCAGGAGTTTGAGACTAGCCTGGGCAACATAGCAAGACTCCATCTCTAAAAAAAAATTTTTTTTTTTAATAGCTGGGTATGGAGGTGTGTGCCTTGTAGTCCCAGGTACTCGGGAGGCTGAGGAGGGAGGATCACTTGAGTCCAGGAGACTGAGGCTACAGAAAGCTGTGATTGCACTGCTGCACTCCAGCCTGGGTGACAGAGCAAGAGCCTCTGTCTAAAAATAACTAATTAAAATTAAAATAGGCCAGGCATGGTGGCTCATACCTATAGTCCCAGCACGTTGGGAGGCCAAAGGGAGTGGATTGCTTGAGTCCAGGAGTTCAAGACCAGCCTGGACAACATGGCAAAACTCTGTCTCTACAAGACATACAAAAATTAGCTGGGCATGTTGGCATGTGCTTGTGGTCCCAGCTACTCGGGAGGCTGAGGTGGGAGGATCCTTTGCGTCCTGGAGGCAGAGGTTACAGTGAGCTGAGATCGTGCCACTTGCACTCCAGTCTGGGCAACAGAGTGAGACTCTGTCTCAAAAAAAAAAAAAAAAAAAAAAAAAAAGCCAGGCTCAGTGGCTCATGCCTGTAATCCCAGCACTTTGGGAGGCTGAGGTGGGCAGATCATGAGGTCAGGAGATCAAGACCATCCTGGCTAACACGGTGAAACCCCATCTCTACTAAAAATACAAAAAAATTAGCCAGGCATGGTGGCAGGCGCCTGTAGTCCCAGCTACTCGGGAGGCTGAGGCAGGAGAATGGCATGAACCCAGGAGGTGGAGCTTGCAGTGAGCCGAGATCGCACCACCGCACTCCAGCCTGGGTGACAGAGCGAGACTCCATCTCAAAATAAATAAATAAATAAATAAATAATTTTGAAAAAAGAAAGAAAAAATTAAAATAAACACACATTTTACTCTCTCAGCACTGGCACCGTTAGGAAAGAAGAATGAACATTGGCAGTGTGGAGTCCCCGAGAAGCCACCCCTGTGGCCTGCTTCTGGCTGGAGAAGAGAGTCACGAGTTGGGGTCACAGAGCACTGTGGTCAGAATGTAAGGCTCTGTCCTGCTTTACTGGGGCAAGATAGCATTAGTAGACACCTGACGACAGGTATTTGCACAAGTCCAGAAATGCATTCATCTCTCCCTTTGTCCCTACATTTGCTCATTTTGCCATTCTACAGGCACATGCCAATTGCCCCCGGGAGCCTGACACTGCTGGCCACAGAGAGTTGCCAGTCACTGCTGCAGGCTCCAAAGGGTCCTCCTTTGCCCAGTACCCCCTGCAGGTATGTGTCAGACATACCTACATGCTGAGCACCATGCCAGGATGAAGAATCCAGAGACAAGGGACACATGGCTTCATCATCAAGGAGCTGCCTGTAGTGGGCTAACAATCTCCATCCTTCCAGAATAGGCTGAGATTTTGGAAATAGTACAGGTTTTCTTGACCTTCATTCATTCATTCATTCATTATGTATTTCTTGAGAACCAGCACTGCTGTAAGCATGGGAATACAAAGCGGACACAACAGACATGGTCCCTGCCCTCAAGTAGCTTACATGCTGGTGGTGTGGAGACAGATGATACAACACAAGCTTACCACAATCGGCTTATTTGCTCCAGGTAAGCAAATGGAGAAAAACATACAGAAGCAGTTTCTCATGATGCTTTCTAGGAAGACAATAGGAAGAATCAGTGATGTACAACCATTGCTGAGTGAGGGAGTAACATCACTCCGGGGAGAGAGTTTGGGTTTAAAAACAGATAAGTAAGGATCTCAGAGTCCAGGGAACAATTCATGAGTCTGAAGCAGCCTGGGAAGCCAACCCCAAATAAACGTTCTGGAGTATTCTTGGAGTAAATGTAGGGGCATCTAAGGGACTTGGAAGTGTTTGACACTCATCCTGGATAAAATGTGGAATTAATGGATTCTAAGGTATCACCTAAAGTTATTTAACTTTATATCTAAACTAGGTTTAAGTTGTCTTAATTTCAGGTGTGTACATGTCTTTTCTCTCTAATTAACTGAAAATTCCTTGAATACGAAAACCAGATGCATCTTTCCTTCTTTCTCTCCTCCCCACAGCCTTGCACAAGTCCAGAAATCTGCTCATTTTTTCCCCATGTTCAGACATTCATTCATTCTCTTAATCCACAGGCACGTGCCAATTGCCTGCAGGTGCCTGATGCTGCGCTTGGCTCCAGAGCGCAGATTCCGAGAGTAACAGGACACATCCTTGCCCCCGCGTGGCTCAAGGGGCCAGGGGAAACAGATTGGCGTAACTACTATTGTGACAATACTATGCACAACTGGCCCCAGAGCTGTCCCAGTCATGGAGCTGTGTTGTGGGACACACACGGGCATGTCCCCGCCCCTGGCCCTGGGACACTGTGGCAGTGACCACTCCCTCACTTCCTTCAGGTCTCTGCTCCAACGCCCCTTTGCCATGGAGGCCTTCCCTGACCACTCCCCTTCGCTCCCTCTCCCCTTACCCTGCCCTGTGTTTCTCCACAGCGCCATTACCACCTGACAGTACATTTCTTTATTGTCTTTGCAATTCTGTGAAGCAGAGATCTTGTGCTTGGCACAGATGGTTGGAAGGAAGGAAGGAAGGAAGGAAAGAAGGAAGGGAGAGAGGGAGGGAGGGAGGAAAGGGAAAGAGAGTTAAGAAAGGAAGGAAGATACTGTGAGTCACCAACCCTGAGCAATCTGAAAAGAGTTTCCCTGGGCTGAGAAGACAGGAACAAGCAGTTCAGGCAAAAGGAACCTGCAAAGTCAAGGAGGCCGGAAGAAACCACAGTGCAAAGTGCTAAGAGTTTGGAGCAGAGAGGCAGGAGGTAAGGCCAGAGAGGTGGGTGGGGACATCTTCTGAAGGGGCTTGAGGCCAGCAAAGTCCTTGGGCTGTAGGAAGGATCTAGAGCAGTACAGCAAAGGACCGGGAAGAAGGCGTGCTGGAACAGAGAGAGATGGAGACTGAACAGAGGCTTGCTGGCAAGGGCCTACTTGATCTAGCAGCTTTCAGATGGTGCCAGCAGAGCGGGGAGGCAAAAGAGTCCCCAAGCAGAGGGTCCAGCTGGGGTAGTGTCTGGGGGGCTTCGTGGAGGAGGTAGGTGAGCCCTGTGCAGGCCATACCAGAAGGAAAGCAAGTGTGGCATTCAGGTGGGCCCTTGGTGCATCTCAATCAGCAGGACAGTGGGAAAAGAGAGAGAGCGCGTAAGGTCCCAGAGGCAAGCTCTCTGAGGCTGACGGCGCCCGCTCCTCCCATCTCTGCTTTCCAGATAAACATGCTCCCCTTCCACCCCCACCATGGACTTACGCTAATAATCCAGCCAGGAAATTCCCGCTTAGACAGGAACCCACCTTCCAGGGCTTTACAACCAGACCTTCCTCTCATTACCTATCCCCGACCCTGGCTCCCACCCCTCCTGAATTGGCCTTGAGTGGTCTCCGCCCATCCCCACCCCTGCCATGCCTGTTGCCATCTCAAGGCCAGGATGCGTCCCAGACACAACTCAGCCCCCACCTCTCGTTAGCCTTGGAGGAACACTGGCGTTTGCTCTCTCCGGGCTCAGCACTGCCTAGGGGAGAAGAAGGTGCAGGGGCTGGGTTTCCTCCCATCTTTTTGTAGCCCTCTGGGCTGTACTGCCCTGTCCATCCCCCCTTTTCTACCCCCACAAAGTAGAGGAGGGCAAGATTCACCCCAGCGCAGGGTTCTCTCCCTCAGGACTCCTGCCAAGAAGTAGATGCCTGGTAAGGGCACAACCTGTCCAGAAATGAGGAAGTCCGTGGAAGCCACCCCACCCCACCCCACCCCACTTAGAGGGCTAGGGAAGATACATTATACTTATATAGCACTGCTCCTTACAGCTCTAAAGTCACTTTTTGGTGCAAAAACATGAAAATGTATTATGTATGACTTGGTATCACATTTGATAAATTTAGATAGTTTTTCAGAAAAGCAAACCAATAACACCTCACTGAGAGACAAGAAATTCCCTTTCCCCCAAATTTCCAAGTTATTTTCACAGCCTTCCCAGCTCTCCTTTGGAGAGAGGAGAGGCAGAGACACCCCTGCTCCCCAGGAGCAGGCTCTGGGGAGAGGCTGTGAAGCCGCTCTTCTGGTGCAGGCACACCCGGCCCTCCGTGGGATGTCAAATTGATTAACTTCATCATGGTCGTGAGCTCCCTAATGTTTTTCTTTGAAATGTCTCGGCTCTAAACGATCGTGACCCAAGGCAATTTACAGTTACTTCCATTTTTTTTAATGAAGTCTGATTTAATAGTCGGAATGGTTAATGGCCTCGTCTGTCACACATAATAAAACAGAGCCTAATTGTATTTTAAAAAGGCCCTTTTGGTATGAACAGAAGGAACAACTTGATTGAATTGTGAGAGAGGGCTTTGGGGTGTGCTAAGATGTCTTCCCAAGGGCGCCAGACACTTTCTTCCTGAGTCGCCATCAACCCCTCCCGCCCACTCCCCACATAGTTCTTTTTACTAAAGGAATTTCATAACTCTCCCAACCAGTCATGACCCATGGCTGTCTGCAGCTTCCTTGCAAAACCCCATCGAGGGCTCCCAGGACTTCACACACCCTCCCATAATTACAGCCCTCCAGGCCCTCCCACAGAAGCAAATGGCCTGACACCCATTTTACACTTGGGAAAACAGAGGCTGGCTGGCTGGACTTGCTGAGAGCCCCAGGGCAGGGAGTCAGTGCCTCGGTGGACCCTGTTGCCAGCTGGCACTCCCCACCCGGCCAGATGGCCTGCATGCCCTCCTCCACTGTGGCAGAATGAGGCCCACGAGCCAGGCCAGGCATCATGCAAACTATCCTCTCCGAATCACTGTGGTCAACCCCTGAATCCAAAACCCATGGAGAAACTGAGGCCGAGAGAAGTAATTTCAGAGCCTAGAGCTTCCTCCAAGGGACCTGAGTTTCAATTTTGGGTCACTGAGCAAATAACAAACTAATCTTCCATAAAACACAAAAAGCAGGTTCCCTCCAACCCCCCCACTGCAGGGGTACCTGGGAACTCCCACAGAAGTCTGGCAGGGACTCCCCATCTTCCACCCTCCCCTGGCCTGACCACCGGTGTGTTCCAGCAGTCCCTGAGCAAGCCCAGCCTGGAGCTGTGGTTGAGGTTTACCAGTTAGCCAAGGCCTGAGGGTCTGCTGCAGTCTAGGTTAACACCACACTGAATGACAGTGGCTCTCCTTGGGAGTGAGGGGCAGTGAAAAGAGCATGGGACTTGGTGTCATGAGGCCACAGGTTGGTTAGCCACCAACAAGCCATGTGACCTTGAATGGGTGCTCCCCTCTCAGAGGGCCAGCTTCCCATCTGTAAACTTGTCCTGGCCTTTCCCGCCCCATTGGGCCTTTTTGAGGGTCACTGAACATAAACACTGCAGAAATCCCAACATCGCACCATGACATCTTCAGCACCCCCTGCTATGTGGTCACCTCACACATGCCCTGACTTCAGTGGGAGGCTTGCTGAGGACGAGCGAGGGGCCAGGTGGGCTCACAGAGCCAGCCTGAAGCAAGGCTAGACTCCTGTGGAAGAAGCACCCAGATCAAGGGGACGGCTCAGCCCCACCAAGGCCTGTACCCTGCAATCTTGGGAAATGGGGCCTGTCTGGACCTCCCACTCTTCATCATAAAGCCTCTTTTAAGTGCTGATGCCCAAATGAGGGGGAGTAAGGAGCATGTGGGCTCCTGTCCAGTGTCTATGGCCGGAGGGGCAGGCAGCTGGGAGAGGCATCCAGGCAGGACTGCCGAGGTTCTCCTGTGCTTGGCTGGGCAACAGGCCTGAAGGCTGGGGCCAGAACTAGCAGACAGTCTCTAGGGGCAGGGCCCATGGCTGTGCACGTCTGTCTGGCTTCTCTAATAAGGGGAAGGGGGGTCATGAGTATGGAAGCCTTCTAGCCTCTGGGCAGGAAGGTACAGGGAATTAATGGGTTCCAGTCAGACAGACCAGGTTCCAGCTTGCCCAGCTTCCAAAATAGGTGATTTGGACCTTATCCCCATCAGGAATGGATAGGCAGCGATCAGGACTTGGAGGGTGTGAGCAGACCACACAGGACCATCCTTACCCAAGCATCAGAAACTCCTACTGGCCCAGGAACAACCTACCTCTCTCTGTCTCTGTCTCTGTCTCTCTCTCTCTCTCTCTCTGTGTCTCCAGTTTAATTCAATCTGAAAAGGTCAAAAGGACAAACAAAAGCAGATACCTGAAATATCAGGGGCAGAGGCTCTGCTGGCAAGACAAATTAAAATAAGTCCTTTCAAAAAGAAATTCTGGTGACTCTTTGTCACCAGAAGTTCCAACTGGACACAGGGACACATTCTCCTCAGGGACATGAGCAAGGACACGTGTAGTCCTGACTGCCCCTGGCAGCCGTCTTGTCACTATAAGAAATGAACCCAAAGATGACTCTAGCATGTCCCTTGCTTCCCTTCCTCCCCAACTCAGACTCCTTTAAATACACCCTCAGTTTCCTGGGCCCTCGCTTTCCCTGCTCTGCCCCTCTCAAAGCCCCAGTGCTGATTAAACTGAGTCAATCCTCTTTGCACCTGCACAGAGGCAGAGGGAAGACAGTTGGAGAAAGGCGCACAGTGGGCTGTATCGGTCAGCACGGACCATGCCACTGTAACAACCAACCCCAGCCTCAGGGCCCGGCTGCTTCAGAGGTAGAATGTGCTTTCACTTGTAGAATGTGCTCACTGCAGACTGGCTGTGGCTCTGCTGCTCATTGTCTTCACTCCGGTCTCCAGGATGATGGAGCAGCTCCCCTGGGATATGGCCAGTTGGCCAAGGGGTAAAGAACATGGTGACGACATGCTGTTTCATAAAGCTTCCACTTAGACATGATACATATCACTTCCATCCATGTTTTGTTGATCAATGCAAATCTTATGCTCAAGCCTGATGTCATCAGAGAAGGAAAATATAGTTCTCCTCCAGAGAGAGCTGGTGAATTTTTTTGCAGAATAATAACAGTCTAGCAAACAAGCATACTGTCTCGCCTAAAAGGCGTGACCACTCACGCCAAATGGGCTGTTGATGCCTTCAGGAACTCTCCTCCATTTGCCCAGTCCACTCAATTCCCCAACTCCTTGACCCCTACTTTATGCCTTCTCCACTTATCCGAAATGCCCAGCACATCCTTCCTCATTTTCACTCTAACTAACTAATGACTTGCCTTCTTATGTCCCTGAGGAGGTAGAAGCAACCACAAGACAGCTTTCACTCACCTTGGCCACCAAGTCTACTCACTCAGCTGTGCCTGAGTGCATGCCCTCGGCCTGCTTTCCTTTCACTGTGCTTGAAGTCTCCACACTGCTCTCAAAGGCCCTTCCATGTGTGCACTCAAGTCATCTCCTATCACCTGCTCGCAGTCATCACCCCAATATCCTGACATCCTCCGTTTTCCCTTCTCCTTAGGATTGAGCATGCTGCCTTATCCCTTATTTTTAAAAAAACACTTGCTTGACCAACCTCCTTCTCCAGCTGCCACCCATTTCTGTGCTCCTGTTTGCAGAAAATGCCCTTCAAAAATCTCTGTGCTCCATCCCAAATTCCTCAATTTCCATTCTCTCTTGGCTTATTCCATTTGGGGGTTTTGTCCACCACCCATAGAAACTGGTCTTGTCTAGTCACCAATTACCTCCACATTGTTAATCTAATAGTCAGTTCTTACCTTTCTCACCCACCAGCAGCATTTAGACACAGACAAATCCCATCTTCCTGAAACTTGGTCACAGGGATGGCACTGAGACCCTTTGGTCCCCTCGTATTTTCCTGGTCATTCTGTTCAGTCTCCTTACTAGTTTCGACTCATCTTTCCAATCCTTAAACTTGGGAGAATCCAGGAATCTACCTTCTTTTCTCCCATGCTCAGGTCCTGGGTGTGTGGCACATCAGTCACACAACATTGAGCACCCCTGCATCCTATAGACATCAAACTTAGGTTTCAAGCCCCATCATCTCCCCAGAGTTCAGATTTGCATCTTCAGTTGCCTAATCAACAGCTCCTCTTGGACAAAGGTTTAAAAACATCCAAAACTAAACTCTTTATTTTAACCCATAAATCTACTACTCCCCTATTGCCCCCCAGTCTTCTGCCTCAGTTATTAGAAGCTCCATTCTTCAAGTCATTCAGGTCCAAAACCTTGAGTTTTCAATTAATCCAATTCATCAGCAAACTGTTTGTCCCACCTTCAAAATATATCCCAAATCTGACCACTTCTGCTACTACCCTGGTCCATCATCTTTGACCTGGGCTATTATTTTCCCCTGTTGGCCTTTTATTTTTTATTTCTTTATTTTTTAGAGATGGTGTCTTGCTGTGTTCCCCATGTCGGATTCAAACTCCTGGGCTCAAGCAATCCTCCAGCCTCAGCCTCCCAAGTAGCTGGGATTACAGGTACACGCTACCACGCCTGGCTTGGACTATTGCAACCACCATTCAACTAAGCTTCCTGCTGTTGCACTTGCCCTTCTCCAGGAGGGAGTGATTCTTTAAGACGAAGTCAATCCAGGCACTCCTCTTCTCAAAATCCTGAAAGGGCTTCAGTACATCCAGCATCCTTACTATGGCCTCCACAGCCTGTGTGAGCTGGCCCACTGCTTCCACCTCCCCATCTTCAGCTCCCAGCACACCTCACCTGCCGCACCCTGGCCATGCTGACGTCCCAAACTCACCAAGCCACTCTGCCATCAGCCGCGGTGCTTGCTCTTCCTTCAGCCTGGAAGGTTCTTCTCCCAGACACTCACTTGGCTTGCTTCCACTGGTCCCTGCACGAATGCCATTTTATCAGAGAGGTCCTCTCTGACCATTCTATGTAAAAGAGACTCCTTAGTTTCTGTCACTTTCTAGTCCTTGCCCAGCTTATTTTTACATAATTTATCACCACGTGCACTTGTTTTGTCTGTCTCTCCAAAATAGAAAGTTAATGCCAAGATAAGTGATTTTGATTGTTCATTGATATGACTCCAGCCCCTAGAGCAGTGCCTGACATGAAGTATTCACCTGATAAATATTCATTGAATGAACAAATGAATGGAGGATAGTGGAACACAGAGATAGGAAGTAACTCACTCCTTGGCAATATGGGGCCTGGGCTACTTTGGTGCTTCTATTTGTGAGACATTATTATTCCTCACTATTTAGGCTATTGTAACAGTTTTTTTTAGTTTCCATATTTCTCCTAAAATTTTCTATATCTTTATCAATTAATTATTCCCATTTTGTTGTTGTTGTTGTTGTTGTTGTGACAGAGTCTTGCTCTGTTGCCCAGGCTGGAGTGCAGTGGTATGATCTTGGCTCACTGCAACCTCTGCCTCCCAGGCTTAAGCAATTCTTGTGCCTCAGCCTCTCAAACAGCTGGGATTACAGATGTGCACCACCACACTTGGCTAATTTTTGTATTTTTAGTAGAGACGGGGTTTCGCCATGTTGACCAGGCTGGTTTCGAACTCCTAGCCTTGTGTGATCAGCCCGCCTTGGCCTCCCAAAGTACTGGGATTACAGGGGTGAGCCACTGTGCCTGGCTGATTCCTATTGATTCTTCAAAATAATTATCAAATTTGTTTTAAAGTTCTTGTCTGATAATCCCAACATATGCAATATCTGTGTGTCTGCTTCTGTTGACTGATGTGTGTTTTGTTTTTTACTGTGAGTCACATCTTCTACTTTTGTTTTTGTTTTTCATTTCTTGTAATTTTAGATGGTACATTGGCCATTATGGAGGATTTACTGTAGAGACTCTAGGTTCTCTTATCTTCTTCTGAAGAGGATGGTTCTAACAACCTTTTAAATTACTAGCAGATCATCTTGAATCTGAGATGTCTTGATTTTAGCTCTATTGTGGTCTATTTCAGCTTGGTCCTTAGTCCTAGGGTGAATCGCTGAGTCCTGAGATGTGTCCTTACTCTTAAGGTGTGGGCTCTCTGAAGCTTCAATGGAAGTCTGAGATCCTTACTAAGCTCCTCTAATTTGGAAGGACTTAAATTGCCCTGGGAAGCTGAAATATCTCTGCTCAGCGCTTCCAGCCTGGTAGCTGTTGCTTTTCCCCTGGGAATCTTGGAGTTTTGACCCCCATCTACAGACTTAAGGAGTCAGGCAAGGATTTAAAAGGAGTTTATACAGAGATTATGGGATTCCCTGCTCTATGACTTCTCCTCTCCTCCTCAGTTTCCAGCTTCTCTAGAAGCCTCAGAACAGTAGGACTGCCACTTTCTACTTGAGTTCTATTCACAGTGTATTGTAGGGGCTAGTGAGTACCCTCAGGAACAAAAGGTAAAAAAACACCCACCGTGGTTCCTTTTTCTCAAGATTTGAATCTCCTCCAGCATATGTCTGCTTTGGGTCACTCTCCCATGCCTCCAGAGTTTATACGATAATTATTATCAGCAGAAGAGTTAGTCTGACTCAAGCTACTATGTGATTACCAGAAGCTGGAGGTTCAATCTTTCAGTTTTAGAGATTATCTATAATCTAACAACTCCCAAATTTATATCTACAGCCCCATTGTCTCCCTGATATCTAGAGTTGTATATTCAACAACTTCTGGAATGTCAAATAGGCATTTCAAACCATATATACACAGAAGGAATTTCTCAATTATTTCTTTCACATTACTCCACCTACAGCCTTTGTCATCCCAATAACTTGAACCTCCATCCTTCACAGCAAACTTGAAGACATCCTTGACTCCTCCTTTTCTTTACATTCAACCCATCAGCAAATTCTTAAATGAACATCCAGAATGAATTGATACAACCGAGATTTGCATACAAATAAAATGGCAGGGGGAAATAGGTGGTGTATAAATAAAACAGGTGGAGTGTAAAGATCAGCCATGAGATGAAAATTGTTGCAGCTGGGTGATGGGTATATGGTTGTGATTCTATTCTGTATTTTTATGTTTCAAGTTATGTATATCTCAAACCACTTCTCATCCTGGTCTACATCACTACCATCTTGCCTGGATTGTTGCACTAGCCTCATAACAGGGCACACAGCTTCTCTCCTTGCCCCTATATAGGTTATTCTCAATCCAGCAGCTAGAACAAAGCAGTCATTTTAAAATTAAGTCATATTGGCTGGGTGTGGTGGCTCATGCCTGTAATCCCAGCATTTTGGGAGGCCAAGGCAGATAGATCATTTGAGGCCAGGAGTTCGTGACCAGCCTGGCCAACATGGTAAAACCCCGTCTTTACTAAAAATACAAAAATCAGTTGGGCATGGTGGTGCATGCCTGTAATCCCAGCTACATGGGAGGCTGAGGCACAAGAATAGCTTGAACCTGGGAGGCAGACATTGCAGTGAACTGAGATCAATGCCACTGCACTCCAGCCTGGGCGACAGAGCGAGACTCCGCCTCGAAAATAAATAAAATAAAATAAAATAAAGCCATATTATGTCACGCTCAGCTCAAAACTCACTAATGGCTTTCCAGCTTATTAGGAAAGCAAAGACCTTCTAATAGTCTACAAGGCTCACAGTTATCTTTCTGTCTTTATTTTACTTACTTCCCTGCCCTCTTGTTCATAATTATTTTGTAGAATGTCCCCAGATTTGGTTTTTCTGATGTTTTGTCATGATTAGAACCAGGTTCTGTATTTTGACAGA
Organism: Homo sapiens; assembly: GCF_000001405.40. Lineage (NCBI taxonomy): Eukaryota > Metazoa > Chordata > Mammalia > Primates > Hominidae > Homo > Homo sapiens. Next base: position 47,807,838 of record NC_000018.10, read on the forward strand.
AAACTCACCTAAGTGATTGATGTGTACCTTCCCAGTACTTCGCATCAGGAGGCATATGCTATCTACTTGTCCCATTACCGGTGTTGTTAAACTTGATCACTTCGTTAAGGAGCTTCCACCATGTCTCTCCACTGTATAGATGTCACTTTGAGAAAGTGACATTTATATTTGCAATTGATGACTAATCTGTGCAAATATCCCAATCACCAAATAACTTTCACCCAAGAGTTTTAGTGTCCGGTGATCCTTGTGATCCTTGACTGAATCAGTTATTACTATGGTAGCTACATTATGGTGACTTTTTCCCACATTTACTGGTTGGTATTATCTGTAAGGACATGCTCTCTTCTCACCAGGTAGGAACTATTCTAAGGGTTGAGGTTAGTGTCATGAGATAAAGTCAGAGAGATAGTGAGTCCAGACCATGAGCACCTTCTGGACCATGCTAAAGGACTTTGGCTTCATTGTAAGCACAATAAGAAAGCAGTGAAGGTCTTGAGCATGGGAGAAACATGATTACCTTTTGAAAAGATCAAATTCTCTTACCATTTTTCACCTCTCAGACTGAAATATTTTTCCCCCCAGGCTGGAGTGCAGTGGTGTGATCTCAGCTCACTGCAACCTCTGTCTTTCAGGCTCAAGTGATCCTTCCATCTAGCCTCCTGAGTAGCTGGGACCACAGGTACACGCCACCATGCCTAGCTAATTTTTGTATTTTTTGTAGAGGTGGGGTTTCACCATGTTGCTCAGACTGATCTCAAACTCCTGTGTTGCCCTGGCAGGTCTCAAACACCTGGGCCCAAGAAATCCACCAGCCTTGGCCTCCCAAAGTGCTAGGATTACAGGCATGGGCCACAATGCCTGGCCTGAAAGAGTTAAATAAGTTTGATAATACACTGAGTTAATGAGGATATGTGGCAAGAAGGCATTCTTATTCATAACTAGTGATGGTATACACTGATACAAATTTAGGCGTCCTGTGGTACCTGGCGCATTGGCTACATCTAAGACCACCTAGGTATGTCAGTGAGCTTGGCTCTGCTCAAAATATTTGACTTCTCTTTTAAAAACTGTTATCAGAATTAATTTATGAACCACAAAGAAAAGCAGTCTCGTTGCTTCATTTCCACCTTTATTCTTTATTACCAACACCAAACAGCACCTCAGGTGGTAGTCAACTAAGTAATTCCTGGCTGTTTTCTACAGCGGACCTAGTGAAAAACCAATGGTGCCTAAGGCGGTGCTGAAGGAAGAATTCTCAGCAGCAGTTCTCAACAACAGATCACAGAAACAAGGCTGTCCTCCTCGGGCATCTCTGGGGAGGTGGAGGTCAAAGGGATGGAGACGTTCTGTGCCGTTACGGAAAGAGGCAGTCCCTGTACTTGGGGGTCAGATAGGAAGCATTCCAGTTTCTCTAGTTTCTTCTTTCCCCTTCCTCTTTATTCAGTTCCTTGAAGCATATGGCAGATGCCAGCTGGTGGTAAAGGAATGACAGTTTTCCAGGCCAGAGCAAGCAAGGTGAGGGGTGGGGATGGTATTCTATATCCCTCCAATCTGGAACTGGAACCAGGTAGAGATAAGGATAACCTGTGGGGGAATTGTGAAGTAGACTAGCCAGTGTAGATGTGTGCACTTATGCAGAGTGGCCTACCTGCCCCCACCCCACCTCCTTCCTAGTGAGCTGAGGAGGACTTGGAACCAGAAAGACAATGAAGCACTCAGGCCTGTGCCAAGTCTTCCAGACTCCTCTTCCCTCCAGGTCGGAGCTCAAGAACCGGGCAGTGATTCCCATCTTATAAGAGCTTTGTTGGATGACAGCCAATGTTCAGCCTTGTCTGTCTGTAATTCTCTTTAAATCTTCTGAGGTTTCCCCATTACTAAGCTCCCGCCCCCTGACCCTCTCTTTGCCTGAAGATGAAGCTTTCAGGCAGATGTTATTTTTTCCCACTATGTACCTGTTACTTGGGTGGAGATTTCTTTTTAATTCTCCAACCAAAAAGAACTACTCATTTCCTTTTGCCTCATGGCCTGAGACATACTTGGATACAGAGTGGGGTGGACTCACTGAGAAACCTTTTAAAGAGAAGATGCAGTATCATTTAAATGCACAATAGACTTCTAGCCCATTTGCCAAAAGCCATCCCAAAGAGGGCTGATATCGTCTGTTAAATGCTGTAATTACAGAGTTGAAACACATACTCTTTCAGACATGAAGTCAGAGGGCTTCTGCCATCCTGCCTGCCTAGACGAGCTGATCTGAGTACAATCACAGAGGAGCACTGGAAGATACCACAGCCCAGGTAGCCAGCCTGGGAAATGGTTTCTCATACTGCAAAGAAGTCATCTGACCCAGAAATACTAAGAACCAAGTGAATTCCAAATTGCACACACGAGAAGAAAGTAAGAGGTCGCCAACCAAGTCATTTCCCTGTCCCCAAACCTCCTGAGCCTTCTCCTTGCCCCCTTCCCACCTCTTCCCTACCACTTACCTCTCTCCCTCCTCCCACTGCACACTCACCATCCCCACTGTGCCTCTGCTCAGGTTATGCTGTCAAAGTCAAATGCTATCCACCCTCCCTGCCCACCTTAATTGCCCCCACTGGAACCCTGCAGCAGTTTATGCTACAGACTGGGCTTTCAATCACCTGATTCCACACTGCCTTATAATTGGCATTAGTGGCACCTGTGACAGCAAATCAAGGTCCTCCCAAATAAAAAGTATCTTTTTCCTACAGTTTCCACAAGGCTAGGCACAAAATTGGTGCTTAAAAAGACTGATTGACCAACTAACATTTGACTTGGAAATATAAATAAAGCCCAGGCATGGTGGCTCATGCCTGTAATCCCAACACGTTGGGAGGCTGAGGTGGGAGGATCACTTGGGCCCAGGAGTTTAAGACCAGGCTGGGCAACACAGCAAGATCCTGTCTCTGTTAAAAAAGAAGAAAGGAAATGTAAATAAAATAGTCCCATGCATCAGCAACAGCCGCCACAGCTGAACTGTCACACTTTTGCACCATCTTCTGAATTCAGCATCGTCTTCCTTAGACTGTGGGATGCAAATCGTGGTTTTCTTATGCCAAAACAACTTCCGTGCCTGTCTTGTACTCTGAAGACAGTAATTATTAGCCTCGAAGTTTTCTGTTGGCATGAGCACTACGATCCCCCAAGGAGTGGAATGCAGTAGCTACAGTTTCAACTGACACACATCTGACTCTATCCCCCAAGCCCCAAATGTGCAATAAAGAAAGTAAAAATTAGTTGCTGTCCACTTGGCTTCCAGGAACAGGGTGAAAACTTCAGATCTTATGGCCTGCCACACTGGAAGGCCTACTCTGATTTGAAAGAAGCTGGCTGGGCACGGTGGCTCACGCCTGTAATCCCAGCACTTTGGGAGGCTGAGGCGGGTGGATCACAAGGTCAGGAGATTGAGACCATCCTGGCTAACACGGTGAAACCCTGTCTCCACTAAAAATACAAAAATTAGCCAGGCGTGGCGGCGTGCACCTATAGTCCCAGCTGCTGGGGAGGCTGAGGGAGGAGAATGGTGTGAACCCAGGAGGCGGAGCTTGCAGTGAGCTGAGATTGTGCCACTGCACTCCAGCCTGGGCGACAGAGCGAGACCTCGTCTCAAAAAAAAAAAAAAAAAAAAGAAAAAGAAATAAGGTAATTCTGAAATCCACAGCAATGCTTCAGTGCTCCTAAGGGGCCGCTTTACTTCTGTAAGCTGGGTTGGGTGAATTGGTCCTCAACCATGCATCTCCTCCAGACCCCATCCTCACTCCAAACATACACATATTCCAAAGTTCATCAGAACCTTTGATCACAAAACAGACAATGAGAGCAGCTGATCAAAATGGAACCCTATGAAAGGCAAAGAGCAGGGTGGAGGAAACATACCATGCATTTCAAGGAAAACAACTTAAAAATTAATGAGCTCTCAGGAAAAGATGGCATCACAAGAGAATCAACCAACCTAGATCTTCTGAGCACCTGTCAGTCGATCAAGAAGCATTTATTGCATGCCTACCATATATAAAGCACTGCTGGAAATGTTGAAGCAGACACAAAGATGTAGCATATATAAAAAGGAAATGTTTGGGAAAAAGTGATTTTAGCCTCTGACCTCAAGGTGCTTGTATTAGTCTGTTCTCACACTGCTATAAAGAAATACCTGAGACTGGGTAATTTATAAAGGAAAGAGGTTTAATTGACTCAACAGTTCCACATGGCTGGTGATATAGTTTGGCTGTGTCCCCACCCAAATCTCATCTTGAATTGGAGCTCCCATAATTCCCCATATTATGTGAGGGACCCAGTGAGAGGTAACTGAATCATGGGGGTGGGTCTTTCCCGTGCTGCTCTTGTAATAGTGAATAAGTCTCACGAGATCTGATGGTTTTATAAAGGGGAGTTCCCCTACACAAGCTCTCTCGCCTGATGCCATGTAAGATGTGTCTTGCTCCCCCTTCACCTTCTGCCATAATTGTGAGGCCTCCCCAGCCATGTAAAACTGTGAGTCAATTAAACCTCTTTTATAAATTACCCAGTCTCCGGTATCTCTTTATTAGCCGCGTGAGATCAGACTAATACAGCTGGGGAGGCCTCAGGAAACTTACAATTATGGCAGAAGGGGAAGCAGGCACCTTCTTCACAAGGTGGCAGAAGAGAGTGTGAGTGTGTGAAAGTACAGGAAAAACTACCATTTATAAAACCATCAGATCCTGTGAGAATTCACTATCATGAGAACAGCATGGGAGAACCACCCCCATAATACAATTACTTCCTTCCCTCAACATGTAGGGATTACAATTCAAGATGAGATTTGGGTGGGGATGGAGACCCAAACCATATCAGAGCTCATAACTTAAGTGGTGGTAATCAAATCTAAAGCACATTTTATAGCACACACACTCGCTATTCCAAGGTTCCTTTCATGAGTGTCCATGTCACTGTCTCCCCAGGACCCCCACAGGAGCCTTGCACAGGTATCTCATGAACATCCAAGTACCACTTCTTGTAGGAAGCAGGGGTAACTTTCAATAGGGGTGGTTAAGGAAGACTCTGCAGAGAGGATGGAATTTAAACTGGGTTCTGGCCAGGCAGGGTGACTCACACCTGTAATCCCAGCAGTTTGGGAGACCAAGGCAGGTGGATCACCTGAGGTCAGGAGTTTGAGACCAGCCTGGCCAACATAGTGAAACCCTGTCTCTACCAAAAATACAAAAATTAGCCAGGTGTGGTGGCGGGCACCTGCAATCCCAGCTACTCAAGAGGCTGAGGCAGAAGAATTGCTTGAATCCAGGAGGCAGAGGTTGCAGTGAGTCAAGACTGTGCCATTGCACTCCAGCCTGAGTGATGAAACTTGGTCTCAAAAATAACTAAATAACTAAATAAAATAAACTGGGTCCTTATTTTTAGAAAAGGATCTCACTTTGTCATCCAGGCTAGAGTGCAGTAGCACAAACATGGCTCATGAAGCCTCGACTTCCTGGGCTCAAGCAATCCTCCCACCTCAGCCTCTCAAGTAGCTGGGACTACAGGTGCCTGCCACCATGCCCAGCTAATTTTTTTTTTTTTTTTTTTTGAGATGGAGTCTTGCAATGTCACCCAGGCTGGAGTGCAGTGGCGCAATCTCGGCTCACTGCAACCTCTGCCTCCCGGGTTCATGCGATTCTCCTGCCTCAGCCTCCCGAGTAGCTGGGATTACAGGCACACACCACCACACCCGGCTAATTTTCTGCATTTTTAGTACAGATGGGGTTTCACTATGTTGGCCAGACTGGTCTCAAACTCGTGACCTCATGATCCACCTGCCTCGGCCTCCCAAAGTGCTGGGATTACAGGCATGAGCCACTGTACCCGGCCCCACAATTTTTTTTTTTTTTTTTTTTTGGAGAGATGGGATCTTGCTATGTTGATCAGGCTGGAAACCTGGGTCTTGAATAATGGATACATTTGGAAGTGCAGAGCAAAGGCCAGAGAGATATCCAAGCCAGAGAGATATCCAAGGCAGAACAAAGCTCATAATTTAACAAGAAAGGTAGGCATAGATAGGCCTAATTATGATGAATGCTCTCTTACCAGTATAAACAAATTACAAAGGGAGTGATGAGAAGAGGCAATGAAGTTTGGGGAGGGAAAGAAAAGTCTGTGGTGGAGGTGATAACCTGAACTTGGCTTTGAGGAATAAAGAGTTTTATATCAGGGCATCAAGAGAAGGATATTCAAGGTACTTAGGACCAGAACAGGCAAAGGCACTGAAGCAAGAGAGTCTGGGGCAAGAATGTCTCTATTGGGTCAAGACTTTGACAATATTAAAGATTCCATTTTCTTCATATATGCCCCCCTGCTGTCTTTCCAATAAAGGTAAGCCCTGAAGCCTGACAGTCACAGGAAAGGAGAGGGTGTGTACTAGAGTAACAGCACAGTTGCTACTCAGCTGTGAATCTCAGAGCCTGCCTTTATTATCTTGATTATTCTTTGGCATCTCTAGGAAGATGATAAGTAGTCTTCAAAGTCAGACTTTACTGAGAATGAGAAGGGAGTTCTACATGCTAAGAGCTCCATTCACATACTAAAAGCAAAGCTTGGACAACTGAACATGAGTTTTACTCCTAACCATGGATAAGAGAAACTGAGAATACGATGTGAGAAGAGTCTCTTCATTAGGCAGGAGTGGAATGACTCCCAGGGCAGGGAGAGATTGATTGAGATTGCAATTGCCCTGTTGGGAAATAAACGGAAACTTCAGGATGGGTATGCGAGTCTTGGAGCAGCAGGGTTAGTCAACTACTTTCCTGGCATAGCCTGGGGAAGACTGCAAGCCACTCAAAAAAGTCCTACTCATGACTTAGAGGCTTACCCAGTATGGCACAGGAGCACTAGCTCAGCATTGGTGGAAGGAGGTGTCTAGTCAGTCTGAGAAAATGTTGGCTTCCCAAAGCTTGAGCAAGATGTTCAGTACATCCCAAAGTTCCAACATCATCCCTTCCCACCCACTCCAAAGCCCAGCAGATTAACAGTCCCATAGTTGGGACATGGAAGCTATTAAGGTAGAGACCTTGAGACCAAAGGCAATGACAGAGTTGTGGTCAGGAGCAGGGCATGACAGCAGTGAACAAAAGCCAGGGACCCACTTACATTACCCAGTAGACTCAGTGACATCCAGCAAAGATGGCAGGATGAGCACCAGCAGCAGGACCGTCAAGGACCTCAGCACATACATTAGAGAAACTCTTTCCTGTGTCACCTGGAGATGACTGTTCTCACCCACTAGATGCCATCATGAGGAAGAAGCTAGGAAGAACCTTTGAAAAGCTGAGCATTTATCCAAAGAGATGGTTTTAAGCCTGAGATAGGCTATTTGAATCGAAAGAGAACGTTATCTTTGATTGGCAAGTTTAAGGCCATCCACCTCGTCCCACACCTTCCCAAAACCAGATGGGATGCATGAGAAATTGATGTGAAATGAAGGAACTGTAACTTCTTTTCTGCATGATCTGAGTTTTAATGTGTGGGAGCTGGGAAGAGGGAAGAACATTGATAGAAAATCTGAAAGCCCACAGGGAATGTGGTCTAAAGCAGAGGTTTAAGTCCTGGCTGATAATCATTTTGGGTTTTCTGAAAATGCAGATCCCAGTGCTCCAATTCCAGACCTGCTAAAGCAGAATCTCACAATTGAGGCCAGGGAACCTACATTTTAGAAGCTCTCCTTCTGACTCCAATTTGGAAACCATTTATTTAACCACTAGTACAAAAACTGGCCTTGAATAAGACATCACTTCCTCCAAGTCTGAGTACAGCACGCAAGGGCAACTGCAGCAAATGGAGGGGTGATTTAGTAAGGAGGGGGTGAAACCGAAAATCAACAAGGTTTGTGTGAACTGGTCTCGACACACTTGGCTGTGAATAGCAGGGATAGAAAGTAGTTATGGGGCTTGCAAGGACATTGTCTTAATTTTCCTGTTGTCTTAACAGAGGATTTACTGAGCCCATGTATGCTGTAGGAAAAAGCTAGTGGTGCCAGAGTTTAAGTTTTCAGAGGAGGAATAATTGACCTATGTATGAGTTCTAGAGAAGCCTTGCAGACTTACCCAGGGCTCAGAGCACATGGCTTAGTCCTGACATAAAATACCATTTTTCCTCTACCACTTGGCTAAGAAGCTGAGGAGGAACTGGCAGTGAGGGAGGAGGTTGAGAATGAAAGTTCTGGAGAGTCACCTAAGAGACGGTAAACACATACCTCATGTCTTGGCTTCTAGAGCCCGGAGATAAGATCAGCTTCCCTTGAAAATGTTAGCTCCCATGCCACATTTAGTCAAGACAACAATAACAAAAGGCTTTCTTCAGGGAGGGCAGTGGAAGTGAGTTTGAGATAAAAAGGAATTTATTTATTTGCACCTATGTATTGTTCAGAAGTTTTAGGTCTTATGAAAAAAAGATTTTTATAAATTATACACAATTGGGTAGCTTTAAAAAATACCAAAATATACAGTGGTCACCCTAAAACTAACATTTTTGGATAATACACTTATAAATTGGAAAATGAGAAAAGATAGTCTGGTATAACTGCCTGAACAACTTATTAAGAACATTAACAAGTAATAACACATATTTTAATGTAATATTGCTGACTAATTTGGCACATTTAATACACGTCCAATATATTTTCTATGTACTGTGAAAGCTTTTGGGAAAATAAAGCAGCTTGTGTTACAAAAACTGCAACCTTTCACAAAGGTTACCCACAAAATACTTTTGCCTAGCCACTGCCTGTCCAACTTCAGAGTGGCACCACCCTTGCTATTGATCTTTGTAACCAACGACAATTATTTCAAAACAATTATACAACCCTCATTTTTCTTTAAAATCTTTGTCTTCCTTTACTTCCCTGAATACACACGTAGTTTACCATGACATGGGTCTTTTTTTTTTTTTTTTGGAGACGTAGTTTTGCACTGTCGCCCAGGCTGGAGTGCAGTGGCACATCTAGGCTCACTGCAACCTCCACTTCTCAGGTTCAAGCCAATCTTCTGCCTCAGCCTCCCAAGTAGCGGGATCATAGGCACCCACCAATACACCCATCTAATTTTTTGTATTTTTAGTAGAGAGGGGGTTTCACTATGTTGGCCAGGCTGGTCTCAAACTCCTGACCTCGTGATCGGCCCACCTCAGCCTCCCAAAGTGCTGGGATTACAGGCATAAGCCACCGCGCACGGCCCATGACATGCGTATTTCTACAGCAATGCTGTATTCCCAAATAGAGTTTTCTTTTAGAGAGCCTCTCTCTGTGTTGACATAAATGGTGTTCAGCAGTAGAACCTGAAGTAGGACACATTTCAGAGAGAAGTGGTGATCTCAGAATCAGTATGCAGTACTCACAGGAGCCCTTTGGGCTCTCCGCTTACATAGCTTGTCTGTTCTGCCCCAGTGAGTCTTTTCTCAGGCAGAGCCTCCCACTTTTGGCAGAGGCTTTTTGACTTGACTTTGGATTTGTCTTGGTTCTAAGACCACTTTAATAAAGGACTTTACATCCCTCCTGGGATGACAAAAGACTTTTTGTCTTTCCTGGCAAGTCCTTTTTGATATAAAGACAAGTGTCCCTCTGGTTTGAGTACTCTGGATTTAAAAACAATTTTTTTTTAGAGACAGTGTCTCACTATACTGCTGAGGCTGGTCTTGAACTCATGGGCTCAAGCGATCCTCCTGCCTTGGCCTCCCAAAGTGCTGGGATTACAGGCATGGGCCACTGCGCCTGGCTGAGTACTCTGGATTCTGAGGCATGCCTTTTCTGGTAAATTTACTTTGGGTTCTTCTGTGTTTATATTATTTTTTAATCTGCATGACTGGGTTAACACTTTTGGGAACACTGATTTTGGTTTCGTTTCGATATGGTTACATGCATCTGTAAATGATTTGGCTCTTTTCCCCTGTTTCTGAACATCTCCCAAGAGCAAAAATAAACATTCTAAATTTTGGGCACAGGATGGCTCTTTTAAAGCCACTAGGGCAATCGCCACCAGTTAAAACACTGGTCCAAACACCTGACTTATCTGTCAGGATTTACAGAATTTTCTTTGCTCTTAAGAGATTGAGAAGAAACAAAATGGAAATTCTCAAACATTAAGGCATGCCTGCTTTTCTGGGACTTCAGGTCAGCTATGTGGCTTTTCCTCATGCATGTTTTTGGATCAATGACCATCATAGAGATTGTCTATGCTTTGTCTAAACTCCCCAAGCTTTTTTATTCTTAGTACCAAGAGACTGCAGCTATAGAGTTGATATGTAGAGTCTTCTAAGCTCTCTAATTTTTTTTCTGCCTACTTTAAATCTGCTGTTTCTGCCAGTGTTGAGATGAAACTCACTCCTTACGGCATTCCAGCCAAGAACAAAAAGAAAAAAAAAGGTCTTAAAGGGCCTTAAATTAATGGCTTTATAAATTATAATAGTTCCCTGGCAACCAACACCTAGAATTAAGAAGTATCCCTTTTAATGTAAATTTAGGTTTGCCTAATAACTGCTTAGGGTGATGGAACAGTTAATTAAAGGATTAATAGCCTAAAAGAACTAGATAAATACGTATAAAAATTAGGCTCTCAAACAGGTCAAAATCTTGAGCTCAGGGCAATAATATAAGGTATCTCTGGTATAGCATAAAAATTGCTTGCCTGCTATGCAAAGGCTAAAAGAACAAAACAAAAACCCCTCATCCACAACTGCTAAAATGCTTCCCTGCCTGCACTGACTAGTCAAAAAAACCAGAATGGCAAACAAAAGATTTGTTACTAAAAATTCAAGGCCACCTGGAGATTGTTTTTTCTTATACAATTCAGCCAGTCCTAGCTAAAAATGTAAGCATTTAAATATTAACATTAAACTCATTTGAAACTGAAAAAAGGGAAAAAAGGGGTTGGGGAGGTGGGGTAAGAGGTTTTTTAAAAATCCAAACTGCTATTTACCAAAACTTTTGGTTCACAGCTTTCATAAGATTACCTATTCTGCATGTTTACCCAGCTGAGCAGGTCCCACTTTCTCAGAAATATAATTTGAATCCAATAACTGTCTTTTATAAACCAGCAAGCCTGTATTACTATCGTATGACTAAAATTCTAAAATGAAAGCTATGTTTGTGTATGTGTATGTTTAGGTGTGTTTACACATATGTATATATATGTTGTATGTTGTGTCTACGTGGTAAAATCTGGCAGTTGGCCACAAATCCCTTAAGGAATTCTATTCATCAAATAAATGAGTGCTAATACAAAATATATAGTAATTAACACAAGTGCCTTTTAGTTAATATAACTTAAACATCTGATAAGCTGGTTTTAAAATAATTGGTAAATCAAAAATAAGTGTCTTTAAAATTTTTGCCTGAATTTACTACTCAGTTTTATATTTGTCTCTGTTAGACTTTTTAAGGTCATAAAACTATAAACTCAACTTAAAAACAGAATGATCTTTGTATAACTGTAAGTTGAACTAATTTTGTATTATTGACTTCAGCTGTGTCCTCTGAGTTACTGGCAAAATACCTACATATTTCATTTTTATGGTTCTTAATTGAACACATGATACTCACAGGTAATAAAAATGGTTAACAGGAAAATAACTTGAAATGACTAGCTATGTCTAATATCTCAGTTTTTATAAGTAATCTAGGAATAATTGTTAAAAATGAATTGGGGGCCAGGTGCAGTGGCTCACGCCTGTAATCCTAGCACTTTGGGAGGCCAAGGCGGGCAGATCACGAGGTCAGGAGATCGAGATCACGGTGAAACCTCGTCTCTACTAAAAATACAAAAAATTGGCTGGGCGCGGTGGCGGGCGCCTGTAGTCCCAGCTACTCGGGAGGCTGAGGCAGGAGAATGGCATGAACCCAGAAGGCGGAGCTTGCAGTGAGCCGAGATCACGCCACTGCACTCCAGCCTGGGTGACAGAGCGAGACTCCGTCTCAAAAAAAAAAAAAAAAAAAAGAATTGGATGGATTATAAACGGGATAAGCAAGGGTGAGACATGGTGGTATGCAGGTATGCATCTATAGTTCCAGCTACTCAGGAAACGGAGGCAGGAGGATTGTGTGAGTTGGAGTTTGAGGCTGCAGTGTGCTACAATTGTGCCTGTGAACAGCCACTGAACTCCAGCCTGGGTAACACAGCAAGACATTGTCTCTAAAAAATAAACCAAAAGAATGTTTTTAAAAATAGGATGTTAATGAACTTTTCATGTAATTTGAAATCTTATAAATTAATCTTCAGTAAATGTCTGGATCATTTCCAAAAAAAAACAATAAACTGCTGAAAATATTAGTTTGTTCTTGGCTTCCTAAATTATAGAAAGACTAAATATATTTGGGCCTATTAATATACAAAGTTATAAGGAAACATGTTTCTAAAAATTATAATATGGTTCTCATTTATAAAATGCTGATATAACACTTCAAAATTTTGCTTCCTAGGTTTTCACTAAAAATTAAGGTTAATAAGTTAAAATTTGAAAATACACAATTCCATATACAAAGTGTACCCAAAAAAAGATGTTTTGATGAGAAAAGTTATAAGGCATAAAAATTGCTTTTTATTGGGAAAAAAGTTGTTTAAATTCAGAGTTTATTAGAGGTTGTTTCAAATATGGAAACAAGACAGAAAGGAACCACTAAGTAGGAGGAGGAGAGAAATATGAAGGAAGTTAATGGGTGTGAGAATGTACCTTTGGTAAGGAAGGTTACAAAATTAACAGAATAATTCTGTATGAGTCTTGCATAGTAACTTTTTATCCTAAAGCAGGATGACCAGTTGTTTAAGGGGAAGTATAAAACAAAGCAGAAAGTTTAAGCATGTCACTGAAGGTCTGTGCAGATCATGAAATGTTCATGAAGGATACATTTATGAAAGGAGTTGTGTGTAATGAAGTTGGCAATAGGTCAGAATGAAATCATAAGACATTGAGCTTACATATATACTTGTACATATGTATATGTACAATAATACAGTATATTCTATACATATGCTATATATTTGTATATACACGATAGTGTAAATGCTATACATGCACTATACACACACACACACACACACACACACACACACACACACACACACAAAATTTGGTCCCCAATGTTAGAACAAGGTTCTTTTTAAGGATCTGGTCTTAATAAAATTGAAAGAGGTTTTAATTTTTAATTCTAAAATCAGCCATCTTCTAAACCACAGTTTAAATTTCTGCCATATTTCCTTCTGAGATCCGTTTAATTTCCCCTAGATTCAGGTTAGAAAGGCTGTCTTTTTTCATTTAAGATGGTCATTTCATTTCTTGAGGTAGAGTTTTCTTCTTGAAGATCCTGATTTATATCTCACAAGTTCAACCTTTGCTGTATCTTGCTGCACCTTATTTGTAGGTCACACATCATTGCCTTTAGCTCTTTCTCCCCTTAAGAAGGTACATCTTTTTGTTTGGCAGGGGTGATAACTCTTAACTTTTTCATTAGCTCCTGTAACTTTTTTCCTCTGGTTCTAACTCTTGCTGTTATAACTTGATACTGAAATGTTCTGTAGAAGGCCTAGAAAAGCAATGTTTTCCTCCAGTATAACTTGATTCTGAATTCTTGGCTCTTCTCATGTTTGAATTGTTCCACGCAAGCAGGAAATTTCTCGTAATTTTTCCAAGAGCCATGTATTCTGTTCAACATACTAGCTTTCTTATTTACATTCCTCTATAAGGCGTACACTCATAACCTTGGAAATACTCTTCCTGTGTCTGATTAAATTCAAGTACCTTTTCATCAGATTCAACTTTCAGTATATCCAAATAGGCTTCCCATAAGTAAAGGCAGTCACACTGCAAGAGATTTTTCTTTACCATTTTGGCAACTGGCCTAAGAAAAATTTTATGTTCTATCAAGATAAATTCTTGTGTTTAAGTTTTTTTTTTGCTTGGGAAAAATGAAGCTTTGAAAAGATGGTTTTTAAATGTATGTAACTTTCTGCATTGCTTCTTAAGTCTTTTGATTATCATTCTTGTTAAATATTTTATAGTGACCTGTGATCCTGTTTCGAACTTTTGACATCTTTGACAGGCTTCTCTAGGCTCAAGTTCTAAATTAAGTGTTTTTGACTTAAAATTACCTTTGAGTTTTCCACTTGGGCCTCTGGAAAGCCTCAGAGCATGTGTATGCCATCTGGTAGAGATGTTAGCTAATTAGGCTTCTTTGATGTATTAAATTGTATGAAAAGCATTGTCTAATGATGTAATACTAGACACAGTTACATTTATGAGTATGTTATTGATATGAGTGTTCCAAAATTGTACGATGCCGTTAGAAATATGTCATCAGTCATAATTCTGATTATGCTGTTTGCCACAAAAATAACCAAAACTCTTTGTCTATTTCTGGTTATGGTAAACTCTCATCAGATTTTTAATCATGGTTATTCTAAGTTTTTGTAATTCCCAGTTATTGCTTTTTCTCTAAAAGCATTTGCAATCAGATTCATGGAAAAGATGCTAACACACTTTTAAATACAGGTTACTAATCACTTTAATACCAATGGACTAAATATTTTTTCAGAACTTCAAGAAACTGATGAGTCCATGTAACTACTAATTAAGATCAACCACAACAAAAAAAGTTACATGAGACTAAGTAACTGAAGATGTGTCTGTGACTTTTATTTGAAGCATTATTGTTTTTTTACTTAAATGTTTTGTTTTCCATATTTAAAGAAATTCTCTCATGCTATCTATAGTTTACAGCAATTTGGAATACTTTTGTGAACAAAGGTAGAAATATTTGCTTTTCCTTTCTTCTTGATCCCTCCAATTTGGAAACTATTTTGAGTATTCATTTGTTTTTGTTTTTGAGACGGAGTCTCGCTCTGTTGCCCCAGCTGGAATGCAGTGGCACGATCTTGTTTCAGTGCAACTTCTGCCTCCAGGGTTCAAGCAATTCTGTCTCAGCCTCCCAAGTAGCTGGGACTACAGGCATGCACCACCACACCCAGCTAATTTTTGTATTTTTTAGTAGAGACGGTGGCCGGGGGGAGGTTTCACTATGTTGGCCAGGCTGGTTTCAAACTCCTGACCTCAGGTGTTCCACCTGTCTTGGCCTCCCAAAGAGCTGGGATTACAGGCATGAGCCACTGTGCCCAGCCTATTTGTGAGTACTCTTAAGGCAATATGATTTGCCTAAGTTCAATAAAAATCGGCTCTCGTTATAACAGGATACAATTGGAAACACTGGTTGTATTACCAAGGCTTTGATTAAAATGTCATATTTGAGAATGTGTAGAATGCCTGGCTTCAATGGTTCTCAGCATTACACTGAATTAAAAATTATCATTTCCTGGCAGGCCCAGGAACCTTAAAACTATAGGTAAAATCTAAAGTCTACCTTGACTTAGCTTCTTAGCCTCAAGGAGGTTTTTAAATCTGAGATTACTGTGACCATACTACTATTCTTGCAGACAAAATCTGATAAAGTTTACAAATCTGTTTTATTCTGAACATCTTTGGTAAAAATCAGGGTAACTTTAAGTTTCTGAAGAAAGCTATATGTACCTGTTATTAGATCACAGCTCTGTACCGTTTTGAAACTCCTGTTATCCACCTGCAGACTGGATTTGCTCCTGAATCCTCCTAATTTCCTTCAATATTTGGCTATGACTCTCTAAGAAAAAAAACTACTCCCATGCTCTGAGGCCTATAAGCTAAGATGTGATTAATTTTTAAAGGAGCAAGTCTCATGCTGATGTATGGGTCACACAAAAGTTCACCATACCAACCAATGCCATAGCTAGAGACATTCAAACTGCAAACCAGGACAAAAAGTTGATGATTTCAGGCTGTAGACATTTTTCCTAAGACATCAGAGCAAGAATTGTATTACAATTTGATTTATTCAATTGGTTGCCTGTAAGCCTAGGTTCAGGGCTCAAAACCATTATGCAAACTGGGATTGTCACATTACTATTAATTTTGTGTATTTCCTTTTTAAACTTTGTATCTGTTATTTGCCAAATTTTCTGCAGAAAGAAGTACAATTCCTAACAGAATAATGCTAGCCCAGCACTTTGAGGGGACAACAAAGGACTAAGGAAAAAAAATTGGACTTAATAATAGACTCCAGGTGGACTTAGCCTAAGTGCCACTCCCTTAAAGCCTCCCTGCCCTCAAAGGTGGCTAAAAGGGTTTTAACACTGACTTTTAGTTGCCAATCACTCCTGCCAATGCAGGATGCAGGACCAGACCAATAACCCGGGAAAGGTCTATTCTGTCACCAAGGGACAATCAAAGCCTAACTACAAGATGATTCATCATAGATACTTTCGGAAAAACATCTTCATCAAGAGAGGGAAAGGTGAAAGCTGTCAGAATCAAGAGTCATGTTTCCAAAAGCCCTGACAAATGGAGCCAGGGAAGTCCATGAAGAGAGGGATTTTACGCACTACCTCAAAGACCCAGAAGAAACCACGCCAGCTTGCACAAACACTATTCGCAACCTTACACAGAAAATACTTTTGGGACATCTGCCTAGAAGCCGATTGTCCAAACCCGAACTGGCAGCATCCTTGTTATTAATCCTTGTAGCCAAGAATAATTATTTCAAGACAATTATATAATCTTTATCTGTCCTTTAAAAACCTGTCTTCCTTTACCTTCCTGAATACACACAGTTTACTATGGCATGCATATTGCCTTCACAATGCCCTATTCCCAAATAAACATCATTTTCTTTTAGAAAGCCTCTGTTATTTAGGTTGACAGTTATTACACCTGAAAACTAAATTCTAGCTGATCAATAAAATTCTTTGGTTCTACTGTATACTTTTATTTGGGGATATCTGCTTCCAAACACACTAAAGTACAGTATACTCAATTTTAAATATAGACAGTATATTTAAAAAAAACATAAAAAGTATGTCGAACATTTTTAATTTCAAACACCAAACTTAAATAGACTAATAACACAGATCTTCTGTGGTCCACAAATCATGGCAAAAAACTTTGTTTTCATATGCCCATTATGGCTTGCTGACTGGCTTACTGCATTTTAGATTTTCCTTATGATTTTAGTAGCTTTCTCTAATGGAATGTGCTGTGAGTGAAGCTTCAAACATTTTCCATTGAATATACACAGACATACAAATAAAGACTGGAAAAAATATACACCAGTCGTTTTCTCTGGTTGTTGGAATCTGGGTGATTTTTTAAAGTCCCATCCACTGGGCTGCCAGTAAAAGACCACAAAATATTTTTGTGTATTTACAGGAACGTGATAATCAAAAGTTGTTGTGGGACCATTCAAGATGAGCGTGGGGAAGGGAAGCCCATTTAAACATATATTCAAGGAAAAATATATTAAGTTACCTGAACATTTGGGTAGAAATACTGAGCACTGCTATGGTCTGTCTCCCAAACTGTCCCTCAAATGTATGATGAGATTTTATCTTCATTGTGGTGGTGTTGAGAGCTGGGGCCTAGTGGGAGATGTTTGGTTCACTGAGGCAGATGCTTCATGAATGGCTTGGTGCTGCTCTTGCAATGAGTTCTCACTCTCTCAAGACTAGATTAGTCCCCAGGAGTGGGTTGTTAAAAAGAGACTTGTTTGGTTGTTGTGAACAAGTGGGTTGTTTGCACGTCTGCTTCCCCTCTGACCTTCTCCATCAAGCTATGAAGCAGCAGCAAAGCCCTTGCCAAAAGCCAGGGCCATGCCCTTGAACTTCCCAGCCTGTAGAACTGTGAGCATCCTTCATAAGTGACCCTGCCTCAGCTATCCTGTTATAGTAACACAAAACAGACTAAGACAGGCACACAAAAGCTGAGGACTGCTGTCGACTCCACTTTCAAGGGCTACCAAGCACAGCCACATCACCAAAGAGAACAATTCCTGACCTCCTTGGAAGCAGAAACTTGACTCTCCGGGCAAGATAACTGTTGTCTTTTTAAAATTTCAGTGTCAAAGTTAAAACATGCCTTGATCAGTCAACCAAATTACTGCTAAACCAGTATTGGGAAGCTTCCTAAAGCACTCCAAGCTCCTAAAAACAGGCAGCATGAAGTAAAGCAGATAGCATCTTTGCATTTAAGAAGTCCCAGAAAGGTTTTGGAAATGGCATTAATGTAAATGTTCACATTAAGAGAAAACGGTTTCCCTGAATTGAGTGATTCTTTCTACTTTCTAGTGCTGTACAGGATAGGCTCAGCGTTTGGAGAGTGTTAACTTCCAGTCATGTGATAATGGCCAGGAGCAACCACAATGATTAACCTTTAGATAGAAAACACAATCCTTTGCTTTTGTCTTCCTTATGTATATTAGATTAGGCTTCTACTCAATGCTCTGTAAGTTAAAACATTTCAAACCAAATAGGCCACTCTATTAAGTCCCAGCTTGAGCATTCTTCAGCTTCTCCACATTTTCCATTGTTTGCTGGCAAACCAGTACAGTAACCTGTTAAATACAAAGCAAGGGTGTGGTAGATTGACTGCATTTAAGGCTCCAATTCTTCACCCCTCCTATGTTCTCTCCCTTGGTCTAATAACTCTGTAGTGCCTTTCCACACTGGGTTTAGCCATGTGGCTTGTTTCTGGTGAATGCTAGTTAGCATGAAGCATGCAGACATGAAAGGGAGTTATGGGATTGGGCTTGGCTGTTGTTGCCTTCTACAACCTCCACAAAAACATGCTTGTTTAATGGAGGATAGGAGGCATGTGGAAAAATGCCAAGTCCTTCCAGGTGAGGCCAACTCCCTCATGAACGAGGAAAGACTACAACTGCTCCAGAGACATCTAGCCGAAATCACTTATCTAATTCATAAACTGTTTATTGCTGCACACCACTGGGTTTTTGTGGTTGCTACGAGTTACTTTTGCGGCAATAATTGCTCCAATATGTTCTATGTGACATTTCTGAGTTTAACATCACATTTACAAACTTTCTTAGAGAAAGATTTGTTATTAGCAAAGACCTTCAGAGTAACCTTTGCCTGGTATTCTAGACTGTGCAGATTTAGCCATCTAATACTGAGTACCCACTTCAGGCTGAATGATCTCTCAAGTGCTCTCATTTAGTTCTCATAACCACCCTAAAAACTAACTTCCTCATTTTAGGGAACTGGAGGAAATGAAGAACTTTAAGGTAGACTGATGAAAAGATTTATCTAAAGTCACATAAATTGGCACAATCAGGGTCCAAACCCCAGGCCTCCGATTCTGAGTCAAACTGCATTTTCCATTACATCGGAAATGACCAAGGATTAAAATTAGCAGAATGTTATTCTGTCCAGCCATTAAAATCCAAAAAAAAAATTTGTTCAAAGTAGGCAATTGAGTTTTCATTCTATTATCCAAGGTAACTGAAGTATTTGACTGTACAGGACTGCTTCCTTCAAGTGTTCCATCCTTAGCATTCTTGTTAAAAATGGCCTTTAAGATATTGCTATTCCCAGTCAAGAAATACCCAGACAACTAAAGAGACTAAAATCATGTAAATCATCCATTTCCCAGTTGAATCTTAAAAAAAAATTTATGCTCAATACCTCTCTCCAGCCAATCACTATGTAAATTGTGAATTAAGACATTATTACTTGGTGGCAATAACGGTTAGAAAAAAAGCACATCCCTCTCCCTCTCCCGTCTCCCCCCGTCTCCCACTTTCTACGGTCTCCCACTTTCCACCGTCTCCCTCTGATGCCGAGCCAAGGCTGGACTGTACTGCCGCCATCTCGGCTCACTGCAACCTCCCTGCCTGATTCTCCTGCCTCAGCCTGCCGAGTGCCTGGGATTGCAGACGCGCGCCGCCACGCCTGACTGGTTTTTGTATTTTTTGGTGGAGACGGGGTTTCGCCGTGTTGGCCAGGCTGGTCTCCAGCTCCTGACCGCGCATGATCTGCCCGCCTGGGCCTCCCGAGGTGCTGGGATTGCAGATGGAGTCTCGCTCACTCAGTGCTCAATGTTGCCCAGGCTGGAGTGCAGTGGCACGATCTCGGCTCGCTACAACCTCCACCTCCCAGCCGCCTGCCTTGGCCTCCCAAAGTGCGGAGATTGCAGCCTCTGCCCGGCCGCCACCCCGTCTGGGAAGTGAGGAGCATCTCTGCCTGGCTGCCCATCGTCTGGGATGTGAGGAGCCCCTCAGCCCGGCCGCCCAGTCTGGGAAGTGAGGAGCGCCTCTTCCCGGCCGCCCATCGTCTGAGATGTGGGGAGCGCCTCTGCCCCGCCGCCCCGTCTGGGATGTGAGGAGTGTCTCTGCCCGACCGCCACCCCGTCTGGGAGGTGAGGAGCGTCTCTGCCCGGCCGCCCCGTCTGAGAAGTGAGGAGCCCCTCCGCCCAGCAACCACCCCGTCCGGGAAGTAAGGAGCGTCTCCGCCCAGCAGCCGCCCCGTCTGGGAGGGAGGTGGGGGGCAGCCCCTGCTCGGCCAGCCGCCCCGTCCGGGAGGTGGGGGGCAACCCCCGCCCGGCCAGCTGCCCCGTTCGGGAGGTGGGGGGCAGCCCCCGGCCAGCATCCACCCCGTCCGGGAGGTGGGGGGGCGCCTCTGCCCAGCCGCCCCGTCTGGGAAGTGAGGAGCCCCTCTGCCCGGCCGCCACCCTGTCTGGGAGGTGTACCCAACAGCTCATTGAGAGCGGGCCATGATGACGATGGCGGTTTTGTCGAATAGAAAAGGGGGAAATGTGGGGAAAGGAAAGAGAGATCAGATTGTTGCTGTGTCTGTGTAGAAAGAAGTAGACATAGGAGACTCCATTTTGTTCTGTACTAGGAAAAATTCTTCTGCCTTGGGATGCTGTTAATCTATAACCTTACCCCCAACCCCGTGCTCTCTGAAACATGTGCTGTGTCCACTCAGGGTTAAATGGATTAAGGGCGGTGCAAGATGTGCTTTGTTAAACAGATGCTTGAAGGCAGCATGCTCGTTAAGAGTCATCACCACTCCTTAATCTCAAGTACCCAGGGACACAAACACTGCAGAAGGCCGCAGGGTCCTCTGCCTAGGAAAACCAGAGACCCTTGTTCACATGTTTATCTGCTGACCTTCCCTCCACTATTGTCCTATGACCCTGCCACATCCCCCTCTCCGAGAAACACCCAAGAATGATCAATAAATACTAAAAAAAAAAAAAAAAAAAAAAAAAAAGACTTTAGTTCAAGTTGAGACCAAAGACTGTGCTATTATGGGGTGGAGAAAAGTATCACAATTTTGGTAATACTAGGCAAGATGTAACCTCAAGTCTCCAGGCAGCCCCATGAGCTTCCCTGTGAATGAGAACAGAAAAAGTTCAGGAGCCACCAGAGGATGTTAAGGAGGCTTCCTAGAGAAGACGTGGCAATGCACCTGATGGAGACGTTTAATTTCTTCACTACAAGGAATTTCAAACTTATCTAAAAGGAAATAGAATACAACAAAGCTCCCTTACCCAATCCCAACAAACAACCATCAATGTCCTATTCATTCATACCTCCATCTACTTCCTCTGTCACATACTATTTTGAAGCAAGTCTTACCCATTGTATTTTACCCATAAATGTTTCATTCTGTATCTCTAAAACATTGTCTCTAGACCTCAGCAAAAAAAAAAAAGCACATCCACTTTTACAATGGTCACATACAAATGGGGAAAGAGTGGATATAAAAAATATGCACCCACCTTCAATCAAATGCGATCTTTTAAAGAATATAAACAAGCCAGATTCTTAGGTATCTCTCCCTTTTGTAATTTTGATTCTGAAAAAATATTTAAAGTAATCAATTAGGTATTCTAAAAGAAGGCAGTTTTCTAGGGGTTTATTTAATTATAGGGGGGTTGGGGTAGAGAGATTAAAAACGGGAAGCAGTGCATAGGCAGTATGAAGTAGACACTTTGGCAAATAAAAACTGCACCGTATGACATGTCACATAGAAATTGTTAGAGACTTTGAATCCTAAAATTTAGTTTACCAAATGTAGCTTTTTATGTTTTATGTTTTACCAACAAATAATTTGTATGTTAAATTTAAGCATCTGAATTCCGAAATGATAAAGAACAGGAAAATAATGACTAAGCTAACAACCAAACTTTCAGAGTATAAAATTTTGTCAGTGGTTTTCATTTTAGAATTAAAAATTTGAATTTCCCTTTGCCTACAAGTCTAAGTAACTTGCAGCAGCAAATTCCCCCACTGACAACTTCAAAGCATAGCAAGAATCCACAGTGGTTTGCAGGCCACTAATTCTTTTACAGATGAAAGCATTCAATTATCTCTATAAAATTCAATTCCTTAGAATATGTGTTTGTGATTGACGATGTACATTTTTAAATGTGGTGATAACACGTTATTATTCATGATTTAAAAGTTGAAATGAAGTAGCTTGTGGTTCTTGGGTAAAACAGACACTAATAAGTTTTTTTTCAATATAAAAGAGCAACCTAGACATTCCTATAAAACATTTTTATTCCAGGTGGTAAGCTGGCTTAAATTTTCACTTTTCAGCCAGGCATGATGGCTCACGCCTGTAATTCCAGCACTTTGGGAGGCCGAGGCAGGCAAATCATCTGAGGTCAGGAGTTCAAGACCAGCCTGGCAAACATGGTGAAACCCTGTCTCCACTAAAAATACAAAAAGTAGTTGGGCGTGGTGGTGTGTGCCTGTAATCCCAGCTACTCAGGAGGCTAAGGCAGGAGAATCACTTGAACCCAGGAGGCGAGGCTGCAGTGAGCCGAGATCGCCCCACTGCACCCCAGCCTGGGCAACAGAGCAAGACTCTGTCTCCAAAAAAAAAAAAAAAAAATTCGTTTTTCTCACAGCAGCACATTTCTAAATGGCAAACCATTTAGAAGTGAGTCATCATTTGTATTAAAATCTTATTTACATGGTACTTATGTAGTTTGATCAAATACTGCCACAATATAGTTTAGAGGCAAGACCTCTCATGAAGAAAAACTTTACAAGATTTAAAATCAGAGCAAATGAATTTCTTAAGTTCAAGATACGTACTCTCAATGGAGAATCGCTGTTGGGCAGTGGTTAAGGCCTCTGATTTGCTACTTATTAGAAAAATCCACATATATACAAAACTCTGCTAAAATTCCAATGGCTTCTCTAGATGAATCATCTTTGGCTGTGAGCAAAAAAGTTAACTAAGTTTCACTTAATACACACACACACACTAGGGTTTATATGTAGCAACTTCCTCATCCTCATTCCACAGGTAGCCCGTTCTTGGCTGGGTTATGGCTTGTAATCTCAGAACCACTGCCCCCAAATGACTGCTCAGAAGCACAATCTCACTGCAAACTATGGAACCCAAACTATACAGCTATCCTTGGCTTTTAACTCCAAGCTATCTAGGCCTTGTGATTATATGTGGGCTTCATAGCAGAACCTACCAGGCTTGTGGTTATCAATTTTCTGCTCACCATATAAGCAGTAGCTCAATAACACCGTCCAGTTTTCATGTATATCCAGACACACAGGTGAGAGTTCTGTTCCAAGATCTCATTTTGACCTTCTTCAAAGGTCTTCTCCATCTCTCCAAATTGAATGTATTCTTCAACCCTGGGCTTACTGTATTCTGCCCATCTTCTTCCTGGACCAAACTGTTCAGAAGTTAACTTCTTTTTCCTGTCATCACATCTCTTTCCTAAACTACTTTAGAACTTAAATAATTTTATTTTCACATAACATTTAGAAAGGTGCAGAGGCAGCCAACAAAACTATTGAAGACAGACTGTAAAAACTGGCAAATCCCCATCTCAAATTCCATTTATTCTATAACCAATAAAGTCATGCAGTTTGGACGGGAGCACAGTAATACATTCTGTTCTCATGTAGCTTCCTAAGTATGCTTAGTCTATTGTTCATTTATCACTGAATCTGTTATCTGCTAAGTCTGATTCAATGTTCTTGCCTTCTATTAATGTGATTTTAAGAATTACTGCATGTCTCACTATGGCAAAATAGCATGACATTTGTTTTACAAAATCAGTTAAACCAATTCTACAAATATTTCCATACCTATTTATTGCAGCAAAAGATAATTTTTATGTGTAAATTAGCTTTTTGGGTTTTTCTATTCCTTTATTTGTAAACTTATAATTTTTAGGTTGGGCTTACTATTTTGATGAGAAGGGTGAATCTGTCAAAGGGTAAGCTGGATAACTGTATGTTGCAAACATGTTCCTGAACATTCTTCACCCAAACTTAGACAAACCTGGAGCTTAAAATAATTACATTGGATGACATCAGTTTGATACTGATGCCTGCTTCCTGCACTAAGAGGCTTTCAATCTATTTTGAAGAGGGAAAAACAGAATATGCCAAGTGGGGAGACAGCCCAAACATAGACCTTAATACTTCTCTCATACTCTTCAGCCATTTGATGAACATGTGGAATTATGGATGCTAGGGCCATTATAAAAATCTCCTGATACAGAACAGTGTCACTACTTCAAGCTAAGCAGTGACAGGCAAAGCCAGGCTGAGGTGACAATGTAGAAGGATCTCGAGTCAGCCCTCAATGTTGTTGTTCAATGTTGGGAAGTCCCTTTTAGATTATTTATACAGTGGCAGGTGGTAGCAATTACAGTAAATTTTCTTGGGTTTCTTCCTAATAAAAAAGTGTTGATAAAACTACACCAGTCCCAAGGCTATTCAATGCCACGTAAAATAGTGTATTTTAGCATTTGAGGTCCCTTTTTGTTGCATACTAAAGCATGTTTAAAATGGTTTGCAGAAAACAGTCTGCTAACCAGTACTGATTCATCCACAGAACTGAATTCTTGCAAGGCACAAAGGAAGTGTGGCTGACCTAAATATTTCTCATTTTTAAAATTATTCATACTGATTATATGAGATTATATCTTATCTAGTATTTTTCAATGGAGCCTTAAAAATGTTATTTTGTTAAAAGTATATTTCAGCAAATTTCAACTTTGAAGATGTTTTTGTTTACAGCATAGATCTTATGTATTAGAGCGCTAATGTAGCATAGGCAAACTCTGAAATAAATAAAAATGTATAAATAGCACTGTGCAGTGTGTGGTGTGCGCCTGTTGTGGGGTTATATTAAGTAGTATAAATTTATCTCCCGGGGGGATAGGATAATCTTTTATGTAACACCAAATTAAAAAAACAAAAACATGTACTCTTAAAATCATATGTCCATATGTGAAATACAATCACTTTTTTTGGTTTCCATATAATTTAGGGAGTGAACACCAAAATGTAATCCCATATAAAAAAAGATCAGTTTAAATAAAAATTAAAACAATTAAAAATTAGTCCCATAGTAACATGGTAAACAACTCAAATGGCTTTCTTTTAATGCTAGGAAAACTGTCCACCTTTCAACGGTGACAGGGCTGTTAACACAGGTAAGAGCAAACAAGGTAAAAAGTGAAAGCACATACAGATGATGCACACAAATATATATAAAAATTGACCAGAAATCACAGGACATGTAAGCAATGTTTTCTTAAGCAGAACTTTTTTTGTACTTTAAATAGACTAAAATATTTGGTGTAGGTGGGAGAAAGACATCAGTATTCAACAATTTTAACTTGAAAACCAGCTGTAATAAAGCCTCAGCTCATTGTTTAATAAAAATAAAAAAGGAACCACATCGTACTTTTGACAATCATAGAACGAAAGCTCACAAAGAACACATTTAATATCTCCATCACAGTGCACCAAGGATGCAGCCACTAAGGACTTCCAGAGGGAAACAAGAACAGGGTCTGCATCCATCATATTGCATTACAAAGTTAATGCCATCAGAGAAAAAAAATCTCACCTCACGTGCTCAATGTTCTAGCTGGTAAGCACCTTATGAGTATGAGGCTACAATTGAGAGAAACTGCTCAGTCTGCATCAGGACACCCAATTCCTTCACTTGCCATTGGCTGATGCATTTAATCATTTTAACACAACATTCACGGAAAAATGTTAACAACACATTCTGGCTTCTCGAGCAGAACAGACTGGGAAATGCAGTAGACGCCAGAGCATCAAAGGCCATGTATTTCCTCACAAGAAAAGAAATCTGCAACAATTGGTTTCCTTTTACTATGAAAAATGTAAATTTCAGATTAAGTTTAACCCCATAAGGACGCATGATTTGTACTTACATATACACATAGGTTCAGAAGAACTTAGCTATCTAGTTGGCCTCTTCTCTGTTCCATTATAACATCAGTTACCTTAGCTGGATCACTAAGTGTGAGTCTCACCACCATACTGGTACCTTCAGCTATTACCTGTGTTATAAATCTCATGTTCCATTCAAAGTACTAAATGACTGGATGGCACATATCCCAATAAGTATCAGAAATGTTGACAGCCATAGTGCAGCTGAGTTTAGAAGCAACTATGACAACATAGGGAAGTAAGGATAAATCACAAGAACACCTAAGGTGGTCAGCTCCTTCTGGTGTGCCTGGGACTTGTTTTGAGTTTAGCAAAAACTTTACAAGATTAAAAATCAGAGCAAATGAATTTCTTAAGTTCAAGATATGTACTCTCAATGGAGAATCGCTTTTGGGCAGTGGTTAAGGCCTCTGATGTGCTACTTATCAGAAAAATCCACATATATACAAAACTCTGCTAAAAGTTTTGTATCCAGGGAAAGTCCCGCATCCAGGGAAACCCTCAATCCCAGGCACTTTAGGGCAGCTGGTCACCCTGAGAACACTACCCACTCGTTCCTTAATATCACTAGAGAAAAGGTAAGAACTTTCAAGGGCATAACCTTTAAGGGCATCAGTCCCCAAAATATTTTTACATCACTAGCTAATGGCTAGTTCCTCTAAGCTTGCTAAAAGGCTAGGAAGTCCAGAAATACCTTAAACGTGTTAACTTTAAGAAGAGTTGGTAGTAATCAAGCAAATTAGTGAGCAGTGTATAAAAGCTCACTCTTGAAATCTGTTTTCAGACAAATCTTCTAAAGGTTCTTCTAGCTTTGTCCAGTTATATGGTATTTTACTGTATTCTCTTTTTGCAATTAATCCAGTTTTGTATGTCTTTTCTTTCTTTTTTAGGTGAAAATATTCTATGCCAACTGTTTTCCACAGTCCTGCATTATATATTAAAACAAAGGCTGCCAGCTGGAGACACAGCCCTCCGATTACAAAGGCCCAGAATGTTACTTTTAACTGTGCTCCACCAGGAGGTCTGGCCTTGGGAAAAGATGGCGAAAGGAATATTCTCAGATATGAACATTTTTTATTCTGCCTACAATGCTGTGATCTAGTTCAACAACTGCAGAACTGTTCTCATCTTAATCGCTGTAGTTTTTCTTTCTTTACTCTTTTGTATAAAAGGTTAGTGTCACAGCTTCACTATCACTAATAAAAAGATACAAATATGCCTTTCAAGTCAGGGTTGGAAAAGCAAAACTGAGGTGTGAGGTTACACTGGTCTAAGAAAGTACCAATTTGGGTTCTATATTTTGTCAAACAGTTGGGTTTTTAAAAAAATTCAAAACTCATGCATGTTACCTACTTGTCATGTGTGAATTATTTCTCACAATTTTAATTAATCTGTGTGTATATTAGTTATATAAAGCAATGGATTTCCACATTCTTAAAGCAGGAACCTATATTCACCAGAAAAGGATCCTCCTGTTTCTCATCAAATTTTTTTTCAGCTCGAACAATCCAAGATTGGGAATAGTAAGAGTGGCAAACAAATGTTTTCTTAGGGACTTACTGAGAAAAGAAAAAACTTACTGGGAGAACAGAGACTTAGTAAAATTTCTATTGCTACAGACAAATGCTAAAAACCAGCTTTATAATAACAGCATTATAAAGGATAGAACTTAATATAGAACCAGAAATATGGCAAGTTACCTAGTGATTAACATTGTAAAATAGTCAAAAACTTTAAAGCCACAGAGAAAGGAAAACAATTATGAAATGGAAAATATATAATATTTAAGTACTTTTATAATTCTAAAACTTCACTTTTGTCCTTAAATCAATATATTACGGATTTCATTGTTCAATAAATTACCATCTTTAATTAAAAATAAGTAAATCAAAGAGCATATTTGGAGAAACTAAGAGCTGTTAACTGTTTGGAGGGTAAAAGAATACTTTTCTCGAAATTTTTTTGAAGAAAAATCTAAAAGCCCTCTATGTTGAGTTAATACACCTTCTGACCCCCATCATCAGTGGCATTATTCTTCCAAGGGACTCTTATATCTAAGCAATGGTGAAGTTCTGGATTCATTATGGATCTCATGGCACCAAACCAACTGGCACTGAAGTTAAGTTAATATACTCCAGCGAGATCACCTGTGGGTCAAGGATGGCCCAGAGAATCTTGGAAAATCCATTTATATTGAGCAAAGATCTGAATCACCTTCAATCAGGCTGTAAGATACTAGAAAATTTGACCTTGTAGTAGTATTTCCCAGGGTAACTTAAGCAGCAACCTTGCACCAGAAGAAGAATTAAAGAGGGAGCAATCTAGTATTATCAACAACAACAAAGTTAACCCTAAGTTAGTACATCCCAGAATCTGCTGGATGTATAATAATTTAGTAACGGGGTATATGGCAGAGCTTTCTTTGATGTTAACAAATTTTGGCTGTGATTCTTAGTTACCAAGTTGCCAAAAAATGGTATATTAAATGAACTGCCAAATGGCAGATTAAGAAAATTAATGTACTCCAATGGTCTGTCCATGAAAGGAAAATGTACACAGACAAATTAAGAACATTTTACCAGGATCTGAGATTTAAACAATGGAACAATTGTTTTAACTGTTAGAATGACCCCAACTGTTAAGTTTGTCTATGAGTGTATATGTATATATAAATTCATACACATATATTATTTATTTCCTTCTTAAAAAGACTGAGGCAGTTCTGCTATATATAGTTAGCTACAATATTCAAGATAAAACAGTTCCTACTCAAAAAATTACATGAACACACGAGATAAGTTCTTATCGTAAATGCTATCATGAGGCTATCTAGTATAGCTCATATTTCCTGGTTGTAAGGCTCAAAACACAGGAATTCCACTCCAAGAGATAATTTGCCCCTCAATCCCTACAAAGTGTAGTCTAAACAAACAAAATGGTAATAAAAAATTGAAAAGGAAGATATAAAAAGAACTCAATAGCAGGATTCTGACTACCTCTGGAGACCACACACTATCATTATTCTGACTGTCTTAAATACAACAATCCAATATGCCCCAAGATGGAAATCTGGTATCGTAGGGAAAACATTGGCTGCAACTGTCAGAAAAGTTCATAATCTTAAACATAATTTATGCCATTTGCCAGTCACAAAGACATTTACTGAACAGAATTTTTGAGCCATTTGTAAAATTAAAATGATTGATCAATTTGAATAGCAACCTTCATGATGAAGAAATTAGGACTCTAGGTATGAAAAGCATGTTCCTTTTTTGTTAATAAGTTCAAAGGAGAGAAACATTCTGATATATGCAGATAAAAATATGGCTAGGCTGGGCGCGGTGGCTCATGCCTGTAATCCCAGCACTTTGGGAAGCCGAGGTGGACAGATCACGAGGTCAGGAGATCGAGACCATCCTGGCCAACACGGTGAAACCCCGTCTCTACTAAAAATACAAAAAATTAGCCGAGTGTGGTGGTGGGCGCCTGTAGTCCCAGCTACTTGGGAGGCTGAGGCAGAAGCATGGCGTGAACCCGGGAGGCGGAGCTTGCAGTGAACCAAGATCGCACCACTGCACTCCAGGTTGGGCAACAGAGCGAGACTCCCTCTCAAAAAAAAAAAAAAAAAACAAAAAACAAGGCTAACAAGAAAGAGGATAACCAGCAAGTACCACCTGGATGTGTGTTGTCAGGTAGAAAGGAAGAATAAAATTCAGGCAATGAATATAATAGATTTAGCAAAGTAAAGCATATGAAAGGAAGAAATGTTTGATATGTCTAAGTATCAATGCCTTCGATCAGAGTAAGAAAAAAGTATTCATTGTTCATGTCCACAGACTAGATATCTAAAGAGATACTTGGTGGGCAGGGGCTTGGGAGGGAAGGCGCAAATTGGAATGTTCAGCTTTTAAAGTAAAGACTGTACATGAAGACATATTTTATGTACAGTGAAGATTGTCTTGTGTTACTTTATATCCCAACATAAACCTACGCCACCCTCAGACGAAGAGGGTATCTAACACTGAATAAATGCTGAACCTATTTAGTAGTTAAAGAAAAAAGAGAAGGATCTTAAAGGTATATATGGGAAGCTTTTAAGAGGTAGAGAAACCAACTGGGTATATATTTTCTTTTATTTGATTTCAACTAGCAAGAGACTAAGACTGATGTTTGTTTGTTTGTTTTACCTTCAAAGTCTTAGTCTTAAATTGACAAGGGCACAAAAAAAGTGAAATTAAAATAATTTTAACAAAAGGGAAAGCATTTGACAGTGTTTAAAAGACAGACAAATCAAGCAAAACTCAATGTGGCTTAAGGTAAAAAATACAACTAGGTATTAAACAATTTGTAAAAACTTACAAAGAAAATTTAGCTTTCAAGAAAAATTAGGCAGATTTCCTTCTGCCAAAGTGACAGGTCCTGAGGAAAAAAAACACAACCTCTACAAGACCAAGCACAGCTCAAGGGTCAGGGCCCCGTCCTAGTCATCTTTTTATTATTCAATATCCATCACAGTGGCTGGGCAAACAACAGGCATCAATAAATGTTTACTAACTGAATGTGTATTATAAGGTATAATCGGTATAACTGATATAGCTCAAATCTAATCATGAAAGCTTCTTTAAAGTAGGATAAAAAGAGCACAATCAGCGGTATTCCAGAAGGTAGGCCTAAATCCAGTTATATTTTTCTAATCGTTGACCAGTGGTTATAAAGACTTTCTGAGCTTCTTTTTAAAGCAATGAAACTCTTTCCAAAAGAAACCCCATGCAGTTCTTCAGTACAGAATAAATATGCCACTAAGTCAGTGAGAACTCCAACAGCCTCCCCTAAGCCAGCCCCCAAGGTGTCTCTGTGGAACCTACTGGAAAAAATATTACTCATCTTAGAAATGTGATAGAAAGCATGGCCATTCGGTTCTCAGGTCATCATTCCTAGAAAATTAACAGTATTGTGAAGAATAAATCCTAAGTAATGTTGCTAATTTAAATAAAGACAAAAATTCAACAAAGAGGGGATTCTATCACTTAGAAAAATGAAAACCACACCTATAAATGGGGGGAGGGGCAGAAAACAAAAAAAAAATCAGGCCACAGTAGATAAAATACAAAAAACATCATCTCGTTAAAAAGCATCAAACACATTCACACAAATGTAATTACAACCAGGAAGTAAACTGCTCAACAGGTATAACTGCTCAATAGGTGTTTTCAAAGAGTTGAGTCCCAATTTCATACTGTACAGAAAAATCGCATCAGAACTGTAGAGATGCGCTCCACTACTGAAACAGCATAGTAGGCACTGCTTGACCTAACACAGTAATGCAAGAGTAACCACCAAGATCAGGACCTTCTACCACTTTCAGAGTTGTTTTCTGCCCCTACAACTGTTCCCTAACACCATTACAAGTTCTCAAGTAAGAAAAAGAAGGGCAGAGGCTCCACTGAGTATCTCCTACAGGCCTGATAGTGGTATTACCTAGGACATTTACTCTGCTCACAAGATGGGTAGTGGAAGACATAATTACTGGACAGCACAAAGTCTGGAAGCAAGCAGCAGGGCACTAAAACAGTGAGAGCTTACACAACAAAAGCTTGTTAAATTAAGTAGTACTGATGTGGTGCAAATGAAATTTTTACAGCAAAGGTTGAGGAAGGAGATATGTTAGTGAGAATCACATGAAGCAGACTATCACAAAATAAGGCCACCTTCAAAATGTTATGAACTGTAGAACCATTCTGATCTTCAAGTTTGGATTTGTATAGAGGTTTCTGTATAAAGCATTAATACCTAATCAGGAGTTTCCTTTAGTGTGAACCTTTTTGCATTTGATGCTATTCTCTTTGCCAGGAATGCTTATCTCCCCTGGCTCCTCACTTGGCTTGCTTCTTTAATGTCAGGTGTTAGCTCATGCATCCTTTCCTTAGAGGCTTTCCTTGATGTCCTACCTGAAGCATCCCATCTGTTATTCTCCAGTACAGTACCCTGTTTATCTCCTTCATAGACAAGTAAGATAATTAAGGGTTAGTGTAACTGCTGTCTCAGCAAAGGCAGGAACTGTAGTTGTCTTGTTCACCTTTACCCAAAGACTAAGAAAAGTTCCTGGTACAAACAGGTGAACAATAAATATTTGTTGAATGAATAAAAAATTACTATACCAAATTTACATGAACACATACATATACACACAAATATAGGAAAATGGGGAGTACCCAATAGAAAACCACCAAATGTTGAAAGTATTGAAAATGATACCTATAGAGACAGGTGGATATGATTTCAAAGAACAAGTACCAAAGACAGCTTCAAAAATATGAAAATTTATGAAAAGACGACCAGGAGTGGTTATTTTCCATTTCTACTAAGATGCAAACAAGAAGAAATGTTTAAACTGCAATGAGTCAACATCAGACATAATAATTATTTGCTGCAGAATGAACTAGCAACAGAGTTTCGGAAATCTCCTCTCACTACAGAGCATGAAATATTGTCAATCACAAAACCAGGATCAGTTAAGAACAGCTCAGACTGCAGGTAACTTATAAGCTAAAAAACTTGCTAAATAAATGGCTTTTCCCCCAATTTTTAAAATTCTGAATTCATAATTATGTGTAGAATAACAATCAATTTATAAACTGAATACAACATACTTTAAAAACAGATGGCCCATATCTGCTGATCCTACCTCAGCATCACTTTTCTAGGTATTTTGCAGAAACAATTACATTTACAAAAGGCCCATTTCATAATGCAATCTGGTTACTAAACCAAATCAAACTACTCGAAGAGCAGAAGGTCTGCTGTTGAAATATTGTAAAATACCTTTGGAAAAACGGTATTTATAGATTAGCTTTTTTAAAAAGGGATAAATATGTGGAAGTAATTCTAGCATATCCCTGAAAATAATTATACTGCCACCTATGCATTTTTTATGAGGTGGAAGGATAAATCAACAGACTGCTAGATTATACAAGCCAATTATTCCTGTTGAAATTTGGGCATAAGACAAAGGGACTTTCTCCATATGAATTCTTACTGTATCCCAGAATTAACTGGTGCCAGCAGTATCAATGCAACTATTACTGGTGATGATGTCATGTTATGCTGTTTTGATTATGAGGACAAAAATGGGAATGGAAAAAAGAGGCTTGGAAAGGTTTTCAGTATGGTTTCCTTATAATAAGATTTAGCAGTTAAAAAAAAAAACAAAAAAAAACAAAAAACCACAAAAAGAATGACTGTTTAAGCCCCACTGAACACATTAAGGTCAAGGATTTCAAAAGTTAATCCACTTTTCTTCCCCCAAGAGTTTATTTTTGGTAAAAGGCAGAAAAATTAGTTTTTCTACAGGAAAATCTGCTTCTAAATAATTTGAAAATCTTGATATATATTATATATTAAAAAAGACACACAAAAATAACAGAGAAGTGGGAATAACAGATTAGGTACTGCAACTTTATAAAGGTTTGCCTAGATCAAGAAGCAGCGCACACACACACCTCATCTATGCAAACTAAAAATGTATATAAACAGCACAATACTGTGATACTGGATCATGATACATTACCTGTACACATAACTACTACTGTTATTAATAAACCTTTGGGACACTCAGTTTTATGCCCAATAAGACATCATTAAGTCTTTAAAATCTTCTCTTCCTCTTTAATGGGAGAGTATTTCTAGACACTAATTTTCCCATCTAATATTCAAATATAGGAAACAGATTCCACAAGGTGCTTTAATTGATGAGACCTCAAGTGCTGTTTTCTCTCTTGAACTTTTGGATAGTAAACAGTCCATAGGGACCACACACAATGCTATGACAGAAGAGTTGTTACATTAAGTCTTTTCATGGGACTTGATTGGTGAAGCTTTATGACATGCTTGAGCAACGCACTGAAGGGGATCCCATCTGAGTTAATACTTTGTCCAACCACTGTAGAGGTCCATTCAGATGAAGTTCAATCCAGCAAGGAGTACTTGTTACCGTCTGCCTTCTGTTTAAAAGAATACAGGAAAATGATTATGAAATTCAAGTCCACAGGCAGGGAAAATGGCTATGTTTAGGTACACTGCATTAAAAATTTACAGAAATTAAAAGGTTGTGTATATAATTTTGGACACGATTATTCCGCAAAATGGTTGATCCTCAAAGTCAAAGTACTTCTGATGACCTTGTTTTAGAAGTGATTTACAAGAACATCTTTTTCTCATCGCACTAAAATTAATAAGGTGATCTTATTATTCACCATCATCCAAAATGGAACACCTGAGAGAGAATGTAGATACTATTAATATCAGGCCAGGGCCAGGCGTGGTGGCTCACACCTGTAAGCCCAGCACTTTGGGAGGCCGAGGCAGGCGGATCACAAGGTCAAGAGATTGAGACCATCCTGGCCAACATGG
Organism: Homo sapiens; assembly: GCF_000001405.40. Taxonomy (NCBI): domain Eukaryota; kingdom Metazoa; phylum Chordata; class Mammalia; order Primates; family Hominidae; genus Homo; species Homo sapiens. The sequence goes on from NC_000018.10 coordinate 47,842,360, forward strand.
TGAAACCCCGTCTCTACTAAAAATATAAAAATTAGCTGGGCGTGGTGGCGTGTGCCTGTAGTCCCAGCTACTCGGGAGGCTGAGACAGGAGAGTCACTTGAACCCAAGAGGCAGAGGCTGCAGTGAGCCGAGATCATGCCACTGCACTCTAGCCTGGCGACAGAGTGAGACTCTGTCTCGGGGTGGGGGGCAGAAAAAAATCAGGCCAAAAGGAGACACGTGAATCAGGATTGTCCAAGCAAACCAAGACATAAAGTAACTGTACTTACCAAATCAACCACAGAATAGTAGATACTCAAATATCAAACAGAATCTAAGTAAAAGTATACCAAAGCAAAAACAAAATTTTGGCCCAAGCTAAACCCACACCACAGAGAGTGTTAAAAGCTGGAATTCAACTTTCCCTGCCAAAGCCAATGAACATCCCTCTTAGCAACACCATTCGGGCTTTTAATAGTGCTTCAACAAAAGGGGCAACTCTAAGAGAATTACAAATTATTCAATGACATCCTGTCACTTCCATGCGCTGATTTTAGTTCCATCTTATTTGCTATACAGAATAAAGTCAATAAATCCACTTGCTTCTACAAACTAACAGCCCTTCAAATATGAGAAAAGCCCATTATCAACTCTTCATCTCCAAGCAACACATGTTCAATGTAATTTAAAACTGTACTTCCAAGGATGTCACTTTCTGAGGCAGATGGTATCAGTGCCCCACTGTACCCTTTGGATTTTTCAGTGTGCTCTAGACAACTTCCAACTGCAGGTATCTGCATTTCTGTGCCCAGGAACTTCTCTGATATACCCAAAAAGGCTAGAGGTGCCAGGAAAGAAGCATCCCCAGGAGCAGCCCTCAACCAAGGAAACAGAAATTGACATTTACATGCCCAGCACTTCTGTTCCCCTGGGTAGGATAATTCTGTAGACTGTTTACTGTTTCCTAGAGTTTCCCCAAGGGTGTCAGTTCTAGTGACCCACCCACTCTGGTAGATGGCTTAACAATGGTCCTGGCTGCCCTGTTCTCCCCTGTCCCACTTCCCTTTCTAGAATAATCCATAATCCAGGTCACCCAAGGGGAGTAGGTTTAAGAAGGCTGCCACTCGATTAAATACAAATTCTTCATACATCTAAATTTCCTGTTTACTACATTTCCTCATTTTTGTGCTAACAACCAAGATGACATTAAGGAAATTTAAAAAAAATAGTTTTAGAAACCTAAACATTAGGTCTATTTCCTCAGCTCCAGAATGATTACAGACAGTAAGTTCCTGGTAGCTACCCACATATCCACAGATAGATGGATATTTGCCATTTTGATTTGTAAATGTTACAGGAAACTACTTGATTTTCCAAAGTCAGATGTACCTGACTCCCAATACTCATAAAAACATACTGCATATTACTGCTTCTGTAATTACAGATTTTACTTTATCTGTGAGTTAAAGAACAGCAGAGTCCACAGTGAATGAAGAAGGGCAGTATCTTTACCAAGTAAAACTGTTCTTAGCAGATCTATAGATACACATGGAATTCTCTCTGTAATTCACTCTTACTTCCACTAAATTCCTACCATATTTTGCATTATTCTAACCTTCTGAAGAACAAAAAAAAGTCTGACCTGAAATCTTATTAGACAATATAATTTAAATCTAATTTTGCTATCAACTCAGGTCAAGTCTAATTTTAAAAAACGGCATTCAGCATTCTTAACAGGTAACAACATCTCAAAAGGGTAATAATCAAAACAGAACTACAGCAAAATCACAAAATGAATTATTCTACCAATATAACTCAGAAAAAAATAGTGACAAGTCTTCATTCTCTGATACAAATATATACCATATATTTTTAAATGTATTCAACAAGTAGACCTCACATTGCACAATCTCAAATCAGATTTCTGACAAAACTTAAGATAGACAAGCAAGTCCAAAACAAATAAATTTGGAAGGGACTAAATTGCTGGAAGAAGCAGGAATACAATCACTATATTACATGAATATTTCTTAAGCAGGCATATGGAGTAAGCAATACGAATTGAAGAAAGACTAAGTATTTTACTTAATTCCTACTCTTAAATATGGTCAAGAAGTCTTCTCTCTCTTTGATGTGAAATCCAATCTATTGTTTAATTCATCAATAATCTAGACTATCTTATCCACTGATGACAAATTAGTTTTTGTAAAACTTAAACATAATTGTTACTACTATCCTTATAAAAGAGGTAAAGAGTCCAGGAGAACTATCTTCCAGTCCCATCTCAACCACTTATAATGTAACCTTGGGCAAATTATCAGCTTTCTATGTCTATTTCCAAATATGTATTAGTTTGAACCATGTGTTACCTGCAACGATGGCAATTTCATATATTTCAACCTTACAAAGAATGAATTGACAACAGAAATAATAATTTTTAGATACTACACTTAAAACAGCACAGTGCCTGGCACATTAGCAAGTATTCCTTCTACTTCTGAATGAAGTTCCTCCTCTTAACCTACATCTAGTTTGTCTCAATTTAATTGTCCAGCCTTATTTTTCTATTCTCCAAACTGAATTGCTATGCTATTGTCAAGATTATCACTTCCCAACTCTGCCCACCCCATTTATGACTATTGAAATCCAATGCACCTTTTACAACTAGATCATGTGCCATCAAGTTTTCCTTGAGCACCGTGTGCAAACATCTCTCCTTCCATAAACTGACATAACCCTTCATATACACCCCTTTTATGATATTTAACACTCTGAATTACGTTAAAATGCACGCCTGTGCATGTTTTAATATCTTCCATAATGGCAGCTCAGTAATTTGCAACAGTTTTGAATTTGGAGGCCTCCAACTTTATTTTACATAAAGATCAGCTGACTCTATAACCTCATTGAAAATAGATACAAATGAACTCCAGAATATGCAAGAATGCAATGAAACATAATTACACTGTGGAAATTTAAGAACCAAATATGTATTTCATACCGGTATTCTGCTCCCCACCCTTTCACAAAACTCATTCTTATGGTGCACATTCTAGTTAGCTGATAGACGGCTTCAAAACCCTGATTAACAGACTGAGCCAGAAGAGCAGCAAATTCCTGGTTGTTGAAGATCTTCAGATTACAGCCTATGATTAAAAAAGGTAAAAGAAATTGTCAAAAGAGTATCATTATTAAAAAGTAATTTTAAAAGGGTTACAAGTTTTAGAATATGAGCATGCAATCATCTACTGATTCCTAAAATTAGCAACAAGAAAAACTAAGCAAGTTGACATGATAGGTTTATGTACATTATTGAATCCATACCTGGTGGAATTTTACACACTGTTGCAGGGTGCCAGCCATATCTCTGATTACAATTGGGGCTCTGCACAAAGATTGCACTATCACTTAGGCACTCAGCAAAAACTTCCCCACCTATGTAGTATAAGCGCACTCCTCTTCCTGAAACAAAATACAAATGAGATTAGTTTTGTAACATTTACTATTTCAGTGTGACTTTGGAAGCATTTTCTTGGAAAAATTCTAAAATGATATAAGGTATTTCCAGGATCTTTTTCACAGATAATGTCTTTCTGAAGTCTAACTTTAAATATACTACTGTATATTTCTCCCAAGTATTTTCTAACAATAATTTTATTGATTTTAAAATACATGTGTACTGACTGAAAGTATTTAAACAATGTAGAAAAAGTACACATAGTAAAATAGTTTCATACAAATGATATATATTAAGATAAGTAAAAGATTGAGTTAATTTTGAAGGAATTCACTAATGTTTGGAGAAATATATCTTCATTACAACTGTAGTTTCTTAGAGATCCCACTTAATGTTAAGAAAAAAGATGTAAAAACATCAAAAAGTCATTTGCCATTTTAAAAACTATATATTATGGTGGAAACCCAACCTCTAGATGTATAAGCATGATTAGGTGAGAAAAAATTCTACTGGGAGATTTTTAATATACTTCTTTCAGAATCTGAGAGATCACAGATGCAAAATAATATGAGATATAAGAATTAAAAAAAAAATTGTGAGAAGCAGAGTTCTAACATGACACCTAAGAGTCTCAGCCCTGAGGTGCACATACATTCTCTGTTAATCAAACACTAGGTGCTGCTGTTAAGGATTTTTTCAGATGTAATTAAGGCAGCAAATCAGTTAACCTTAATCAGGCAATCCTTTAAAAGGGACTAGACTGTCATAGGCTAAGTGATTCAAAGCATGAAAGGTATTCAACACAAGAGACATTCTCCATTGCTGACTTTGAAGATGGATGGCACCATGTGACAAGGAATTCAGGAGGCATCTAGGAGCTGAATTCTGCCACAACCATGTGGGTTTAGAAGAGGACCTCAAGCTCCAGATAAGAACACAAGCCAGCTGATACCTCAATTTTGGCCTTGTTAAACCCTGAAAAGACCGCCTAACCCATGTCTGGACTCCTGACCCACAGAAACCGTGAGGTAAAAAACTGATGTTTTAGGCCACTGAGTTTGTGGTAATTTGTTACACAGCAAAAGAAAACTAATCAAACAACTAACACTCCAGATTTAATACAGAACCTGGTACGGTGGTTCTGTTAAGACTATGGAATATCTGTAAAACAGTCATGCACGTGGTCATTGGGAAAACACTAAGTCCAAAAAGTAGAGATTTTTCAGGCTATATTCCCTGATCAATATCACCTATAAAACTAGAAATAAAAAATTTAAAAAAATCCAATAACGACAGCAATCTAAAACTTTGGAGGGAGAAGAGAATAAGGCAGAGAAAACCCATTAAATTTTTTTGCAGAACCCCAATTAAGTCACAAAAACAAAAAACTATTTTAGTTAAAGCACCTACAGCGACACTGGGTATCTTAATAAGATTATCCAAATTTATACATCAAGCAAGATTTGAGAACTTCCACTTGGAACCAAGTAATAGATCTTCTAGTCACTATCATTTTGCAGTATCAAAATCACACTTTGATAACCAGCATTACTTCTCACAGGAGGTAATGGTTAATTAGAAAAAAAACAGAAGCAAACTACTGTTAAAAGAAGTTACTTTAAGGTGATGAGAATGATGTTCAATTATGAATGGTTCTCACACTTTTTCACTTCATCGTTAAGGAAATACTGAGGACCCCAAAGAGCTTTTGTTTATGTGAATATTATGGAAAATGACCATATTAGATATAAAAACTGAGATTTAAAAAATTCATTTAAAAATCAAATCCATTACATATTAACAATGTTTATAAAAAACAACTGTATTTCCAAAGCAAAAAAAAAAAAAATAGAGTGGCAACATTTCACCATTTTTGTCTATGAAAAACAACTATATTTCCAAAGCAAAAAAAAAAAAAAAAAAAAATAGAGTGGCAACATTTCAACATTCATGTCTAGTGTAACAGAATTGGAGTCTCATTATCAAATCTACATTTCATCTCTTGCAAAATCATATGCATGTAGGCTCTGGAATACTCCACTGTACAGTCATGAGAGTATGAGAGTAGAAATGGCAAACAGCATCTCAGTACTACTATGAAAATAGCTTTGACCTCACAAACTAGCTGAAAGGGTTTCTGGGACTACCAGAAGTCCCCAGACCACATTTTGAGATGTCCCTGAATTATATTTTGAACTATATTAAATGCAGTTCTTGTTTTAGATATCTCATTTCAGATGAACAGCAAGCAGATTTCATTTAATATATAAACTCACCAAAGGGGGAAAAAACCTGGGAGCTATATAAAGAAACTGAAAAAAAACAAAAACAAAACAAAACAAAAAAACATGATTTATAAAAAAGTATTAACCCCCAAATCTGAACATGGCAATTTTATGACTGGTAGAGACTCAGCAAATTAAACTTATCTTAACACATATTTATTGAAGAACTTTCCAGTACCAAGGGTGCCAAATAAAAGTTGAAGAGTTTGCAGCTGAAGCATCACCAGGATCTATTAGAAGCAGTGAAGCCTGTGCACTTAAATGTGTCGGCACTTAAACCACCAGAGAGAAAGCTGGTTTTACTGCACACAAGCTCTTGATGTGGCACACCATGCAATGCCTACATTATGAGTATACAGCATTTATTTTTCACAACAAGGAAAATAAAACATACCTATATGCCTTCTTGTCATTTCTACCGTGGCATTTCGGTTAACATTGGAGAGTAAACCTAAGCAGAACCTCTCTGAATTTGATGGGTCTGTAAAGCCATCTACAGTGAGTGAGGGCTGTGATGCATGGAAGGTTTCTCCAACCCTCTGATTTAATTCATAATATGCTATCGAACACCAAAATGCAGGTTCTGAGTAAGTAACTGGCTGTAAATCTGAAAAAGAAAAAAATAAAAAAATAATAAAAGGAAGAAATGCGTGAACAATTCAAGCCAAAAATAGATTTAATATAATCATCTTTACATGCTCTATGCCAGCCTGCACTGGCAAAAGCTCAGGAAGTAGACATAGTATCTGTATCGGTTTCCACAGATGATACCAGATTTTCAGTATTTTTCACACAAAACTCCAGTTTCATAGATCATACCAGATTTTTTCAAATTTCTCCCATGTCATTAAATCACTTTATGTTGGATTCTTTGTTTTACCAGTAGTTTTAGTCTAGCTCCTGTTCAAATACAAAACAATCATAGGCAAAGTCAGTCAACTTGCCATACTTGGTGCATTTCTAAAGCACATAAAAAAGCTAAAGTGGGGTAAGATAAAGCCAGAGCAAAGATTAATGAGTCAAAAGCCACACAAAGAAAAACAGTAATAATAAAAGGATACAAAATATGACATATTTTTGACATTTGTCTATTTTAACATCAAACTCTTGGTGAGATACCCTAGCTACAAAAAGAGAAAACCCACTCATACATAAGAACCAGAAAGCAGTAACACACAAAGATCATGCAAGTAGAAACAGACCATAGAGTCAAAAGACTACTTATTTCACTGGAAAACTATATATTTAGCTTCTGCAGTTTGACTAAAACATATCATAAGGAATACTGCAAAAGAAAAAAACCTCACAATTTTGTAGAATAAATTCCAAACATGTAACAACCGAAGAGAAATTGTGAAATAGGGTAAAATGAGGGCAAAAATAATAATAGTAATACAGAAATGTATGTATATATATATATATATATATAGTCATCCCTTGGCATTTACAGGGGATTGGTTCTAGGACCGGCTCCCCCTAACTAAAAACCCTTAGATGTTCAAGTCCCTGACATAAAAGGGTGTAGTATTTCCATGTAACTTAAATTCACGTCATCCTGTATACTTTAAATAATCTCTAGATTACTTATAATACCTAATAATATAAATGCTATACAAATATTTGTTATACTGTATTTTAAAATTTGGGCCCAGCACGATGGCTCACGCCTGTAATCCCAGCACTTTAGGAGGTCAAGGTGGGTGATTCGTTTGAGGCCAGGAGTTTGAGACCAGCCTGGGCAACATAGTGAAACCCCATCTCTACTAAAAATACAAAAATTAGCTGGGTGTGGTGGCATGCACCTGTAGTCCCAGCTACTCAGGAGGCTGAGGCAGAGAATTGCTTGAACCCAGGAGGCAGAGGTTGCAGTGAGCCGAGATTGCGCCACTGCACTCTAGCCTGGGCGACAGAGCAAGACTCTGTCTCAAAAAATAAATAAAAATAAATACAATTTGTATTAGTTTTTACTGTCGTATTGTTATTTTCATTTTTTCCCGATTATTTTCAATCTGCAGTTGGTTGAATCTGCAGATGCTGAACTCATGGTTATGAAGGGACCATACACATACACATTTGTACATATATGTGCACACTCTCATATATATATTATATATAGTATATATATATTATTATATATATGTATAATATATATTATATATTATATATTATATATATTATGTATAATATATATTATATATTATATATATTATGTATAATATATATTATGTATGTTATATACATATTATGTATAATATATGTTATATATATTATACATAATATGTATAATATATATTATATATATTATATAATATATATTATATATTATGTATAATATATATAATATATTATATATATTATGTATAATATATATTATATATTATACATAATATATATTATATATTATATATTATGTATAATATATGTTATATATATAATATATATTATGTATAATATATGTTATATATATAATATATATTATGTATAATATATATTATATATTATATATATATTATATATATTATGTATAATATATATTATATATTATATATATATTATATATATTATGTATAATATATATTATATACTATATATATATTATATATATAATGTATAATATATATTATATACTATATATATATTATATATATTATGTATAATATATATTATATATTATATATATATTATATACATTATGTATAATATATATTATATATTATATATATTATGTATAATATATTATATATTATATATATTATGTATATTATATATTATATATATTATATATATTATGTATAATATATATAAATCCCCATACTACGTATACATGTATACATATTTATGTCAATGTGTATATATGTAATACACATACCTTTTATTAATTACATCATAAAATAAACATAACCATAAAAATCTAGCCATAACAGGTTATATAATTTTCTATGAGGAATATGATTTCAATAATAAATAGATTATACCTATTTCTTATATGTGCCAGCAGAAAAGACTTAATAATTTTGAGGGATGGTGTCAATATTCTTTTTAAAAAGCACTACTTTAACCACATACATAATTATTTGGCTATTCATTAGGATCCCTTTCTCGGATATATAAAAAATAACTCCTAGAGATGATTTTTATTATTAAGTAGGTGATACAGTATAAAAATGATGAGGGGAACATATGTGCAACTTACCCAAGCTATGATTAACAGGGGAAAGAGTAGTAGGAGATAGTTCTGCTGGAGAGCCTAAAACAAAAGGATTTAAAAATAAATGAAGTATTTCCAGAACTTCTGATCAAGTAATCATAAAACTAGCTTTATCTGGTTATAATTATCAACAATAATACAAAGATAATTTAAATACCAAGAATTCAGAATATGTAAGTGCTTAAATTTAGTTTAATTTGTGGGGGGTCGGGGGAAGAGAAGGGGGGGTTCCAGTATAAAAGGTGCAACAGTTTTGGCTTCTAGCCCAACAGTTCATCTTCCCAAAGATATCTAATATTGACGGTTCCTTGGGTATCTTTCCAAAATACTCTATGAACCACATAAGCAAATACATTTTTGTTCTGTGTCCTTTCTTTTCATATACAAGTGGTAACCGTTTTTCATCTTCTATATTATTCTATCAGATTGTTCACAATGTGTTTCCTTATTTGTCTATCTACATATCAATTAGTCACATAACATCGCGATCCCACATTGATGGATATTCAAGCTATTTTCAATCTTTTGCTATAAGAACCAATGCTTTGAGATTGCAATAACTAATCTTGACCGTTTTGCACGCTTCCAATCACATCTGAAAGATACATTCTTCAAGAAACTGCCAGGTCGAAAGGTTTGTGTATTTGCAATTTTGATAGATTTGGGTAAAATTATCATTCATCAAGGTTGTACCAGTTTACATTCCCAGTCACAACATAGTAAAGGGATGCTTGAGGTGTTATTGCTTCTAGATGAAAACATGGTCACAAGTACAGTTTTAATTTTGAGTAGCTTTACACATGTTTATATTATATTTCCTTCCTGTGATAGTCTGTTCTTTTCTTTTGCGATGTTGATCATTTTCTTACTGATTGTTTGAAAGCTCTTTATGTGTATTAGGGATGTAAGTCTTCTTATGGTATGAGCTACAAATATTTAATCATTGGTCTTTTGACTCTTAATCCTAATTTTGATCATGTAGCACTAAAATAAAAGCCCTTCTACAAGATTTATCAATCATCTTTGGGTTAGCGTCACACTTTGGGATAAAACAGTGATGACGGTGGATATCTTACTCTTGACTTTTAGGGTAATGTTTCTACCATTTTCCCATTAAGCATGGCATTGGCTTTCAGGCTAACAGTAATAAAATATTTATTTAGGATTTTTGCATCAATAGTCTCAAGCAATACAAGCCTGAAGATTTACATGAGTGCTATGTTTGTAAGGCTCTGTGGTCAATGTTATGACAATCTAGCAGCTTTATCCTCTGCAAAGGTTTAAATAGTATTATAACAGCATATTCTTTAAAAGTTTGGTAGAATTCTTCTGTGAAATTATAGTTAGTAACTTTCTAGGGTTTACTACGAGACATTATTCTATGAAGGGTGACTTGTTCAGATAGCTCTATTTTCTGGAGTCAGTTCTGGTAAATTACACTTTCTTAGAAAATGATCTGTTTCTTCTTTTGGGTAAACAGGCTAAATCTAATCAAGAAAATAAGGGGGCACAAACATACAAAATAAGAACCACCACAGACAACATATGAAAAATCATGGCGCAACTAGTCTGCTCAGTTCCATGCAACTCAATTTTAAAACACATTTGCTATAAACATTGTTAAATAATCTTATTAAAAATATAAAATATATTTTCTTTTATGATCATCATTCTCTACACGTTTAGGCACAGTTACCTAAAAGAGCATGACCCAAGCTTCAAATGTATACCAAGAGCATAATTGTAGAATAAGATAGGTCAGGCTGGGCATGGTGGCTCATGCCTGTAATCCCAGCACTTTGGGAGACTGAGGTGGGTGGATCACGAGGTCAGGAGTTAGAGACCAGCCTGGCCAACATAGTGAAACCCCATCTCTACTGAAAACACAAAACTTAGTCGGGCATGGTGGCATACACCTGTAATCCCAGCTACTCGGAAGGCTAAGGCAGAAGAATGGCCGTAGTATACCCCTGGTCGTGTAGCAGTGAAAGTGGTTTGGTTTAGACGTCCGGGAATTGCATCTGTTTTTAAGCCTAATGTGGGGACAGCTCATGAGTGTAAGACGTCTTGTGATGTAATTATTATACGAATGGGGGCTTCAACCGGGAGTACTACTCGATTGTCAAAGTCAAGGAGTCGCAGGTCGCCTCGCTTGAATCCAGGAGGCGGAGGTTGCAGTGAGCTGAGGGCATCCCACTGCACTCCAGCCTGGGCGACAGAGCAAGACTCTGTCTCGAGAGGGAAAAAAAAAAAAGAGTAAGATAGGTCAGACCATCTTACACACCTCCTCCCTACCACACACTATTATAACCATGACATAAAATACCAGGCAATAAAGGTGAAATGGTAGCCCCTAGATAAATAAATGAATCAGAGAAGGGATGCTTAGTTTTTAGAAGACAGTACGGTCTTCCACAACATAATTAAGTTATGTTCCTTTTTTCTCAGTTTGAAAAATCTGCTGGCAAGTCACAAATCTGCTGGCAAGTCACAAATCTGCTGGCAAGTCACAACAGGTACAACTAAGATAGGTCAAAACATATTTGGAACAATGAGCTAAAATTCACTGCTGTTTCCTGAAACCAACATAAAATAAACAAAGCCACTATTAGAAATGGAGGAAACTGCCCAACTATTCATATCTTTTAACTGTTTACTCCTCTATTAAATACTTAGAAATGACCAGTAGGATCATTTAAATTAACAGGCGTTCAGTCAGATGTGACAGGTTAGAATTACAGATTACAAAAAAGACAAATTTTAAAAACTTAAAATAAGCTAACAATTAATAGAAGCCTTTAAAAAAAAAAAAACCAGAGGCAACGAACTGATGATTAGCCTATGAATTATTCATACATAAATGCTGCTATTGGAGTCTCACCTACCACAGGTCTTCCACTTAGAATATTATAAATATCCTATTTGAGATCCAGTGTGAATTAGCAGTGTCTACTTACAGCTAAACCATCTACAGAAATCCCTGTGCATGTATCTTCGCATACAAATTCACATATATTTGTAGGATACATTCGTCAAACCTTTGACAAATTAACAAATGTCAAATAAAATGTGTTAAACTTTTATAAGTGCCAAAATACCCTCTCAAAAATGTTTCATCTCACTAAGAATTTATAAGCTAGTGTTTCTTCACACCGTGTCACTACATGTTGACATCTGCCAATATGATAGGTTTAAAAGGAGCAATTTTTTAATTTCTTGTTTTTGTTGTAAACAGTGTATTTCTGTTCTTTTAGCCAATTCTATTAACTATCTTTTTCTTCTTGATTTGTAAGTTTTTAAACTTAAAAATCAGTTCTTAGACTTGTCATCTATTTGCAAATATTCACCCAGGTTTTTTTTTAAAAAAAATCTGTTATATCTTTTAAGGTGACATTAAATTGTTTTAATTTAAAAAAGACTTTTTTTTTAGAGTAGTTTCAAGATCACAGCAAAACTGAACAGAAAGTACAAAAAGCTCCCATATGACCCCTGCCCTGCTTCCCCAAATTCCCTATAACATCCGCAAACCACAATGGTCCATTTGTTATAATAATGAACCTACACTGATACATCATTATCACTGAAAGTCCATAATTTACATTAGGGCTATGTTATACATTCTCTGGGTTTTGACAAATGTATAATGACGTGTATCCATTTACAGTTTCAAACAGAGTAGTTTCACTGCCCTAAAAATGCCCTGTGCTCCACCTAGTCCTCTTTACCTCCCACAAAGCCTCAGTAACCACTTATCTTTCTACTGCTTCCATAGTTCTGCCTTCTCCAGAATGTCATATATAGTAAGTCTTCATTTAACATCTTCCATAGGTTTTTGGAAACTGACTTAAGCAAAATAATTGTACAACAAAACCAACATTCCCCAATCATCAACACTGTAACGAAATGACATTATTACTTGAGGACCTGTTGTACATTAATTGGATATATCAGTTTATTTATCTAGTCACCTATTAAAACATCTTGGTTGCTTCCAAGTTTTGGAAATTATAAATAAAGCTGCTATGAACATCAATCTGCAGGTTTTTGTGTAGACCTAAGTTTTCAATTCATTTGGGTAAATACCAAGGAGAAGCAAGACTGCTAAACCATATGGTAAGAATATAGTTAGTTTTGTGAGAAATCACCAAACTGTCTTCCAAAGTGGCTATACCATTTTTCATTCTGACCAGTAATAAATGAGTGTGCCTGTTGCTCCCCATCCTCACCACACCAGCACTGATGAACTCCCTCAGCTTTTGTCTGAAAAATTTTTTATTTCTCCTTCATTTCTGAAGGACAGCTTTACTGGTTATAGTATTCTTGGTTGGCAGGGGTACTTTTTTCTTTTTTTCAGATGGGGTCTCACTCTGTCACCCAGGTTGGAGGGCAGTGTCACAATCTTGGCTCACTACAACCTCCACCTCCTAGGCTCAAGCAATTTTCTCACCTTGGCCTCCTGAGTAGCTGGGACCACAGGTGTGTACCAACACACCCGGCTAATTTCAGTTTTGTTTTTTAATTCTTTCAGCACTTTAAATACACCACCCATCTCTCCTGGCCTGCAAACTTTCTGCTGAAAAAGCTGATTGTCTAATGAAGACTCCCTTGTTATGTGGCACGTTGCTTTTACTCTTGCTGCTTTTATTCACAATAGCAAAGATACAGAAGACAACCCAAGTGTCCCATCAACAGATGAATAAATAAAGAAATGGAGGGTTATACACACAATTGAATGTTATCCTGCCTTAAAAAGGGAGATCCTACCACTTTTGGCATGGATGAATCTGGAAGACATTATGCCAAGGAAATTAGGTGGACATAGAAAGACACATGGCATAATCTCATATGTGGGGTTTTTTTTTTTTAAGCCAAATACATAGAAACATAATAAAATGGTGATTACAGGTTGGGGGGAAAATAGGGAGATTATAGGTCAAAGGGTATAAAGTTGCAGATATGTAAGATATGCCCAGAGATCTAATGTACAACCTGAGGACTACAGTTACAATATTGTGTTGTATACTGGAAATTTAGTAAGTCAATTTTAGGTGCTCTTATCACACACATAAAAAGGTGACTATGTGAGATGATGGATTTAGTTGACTACAGCAACCATTTCACTACATACACCAAATATCATGTTATATACCTTAAACATATACAATAAAAATGTATGCTTTAAAAAGTCTAATTTACTGAATACAGACTAAAGTGTTCACAAACCTTCCAGAAAACTGGGAATCATCCTGGGTTGCTTCTTCAACCTTAACCCAAATATGATCACTAGTCATATTCTAAGCCTCAGCAATATGTATCAAAAGCACCCACTTCTCCCCCATGTCACCTAAAACCAGCCAGACATATAGTGTAATAAACAAGAACAGGAACTCTAGAATCTGACATCCTACTGAATTTCTCTGTCATTTTCTAGCTATTTTTTAATGAGGTTCATTACAGCATTGTTTTTTAATTTCTGGTAAAAGTTGAACCTTTTAAAATTTTAATTTTTTGCTAGATGCAATTACATATAATGCTTAAGTTTTCCTATTTTGCCTAACTATGCTAATTTTTTTTTTTTTTTTTTTTTGAGACGGAGTCTCGCTCTGTCGCCCAGGCTGGAGTGCAGTGGCGGGATCTCGGCTCACTGCAAGCTCCGCCTCCCGGGTTCACACCATTCTCCTGCCTCAGCCTCCCAAGTAGCTGGGACTACAGGCGCCCGCCACTACGCCCGGCTAATTTTTTGTATTTTTAGTAGAGACGGGGTTTCACCGTTTTAGCCGGGATGGTCTCGATCTCCTGACCTCGTGATCCGCCCGCCTCGGCCTCCCAAAGTGACTATGCTAATTTTTTATAATGAACATCCATTTGTTGTATAATTTGAAATGCTGTATCATAATCTTATGTGTAGAACACTGTTTAACTTTTATCTGACACAGAATAATGGTAGAAATAAGAGATTAAGCTTCCCTGCCAAAGTGATACAACATTATAATCATCAAATTCAGCTTATGAAATATATAATGCATGAATGATCATTTTTTCATTTCTTGTTTTAAAAAACTTAATCCCCAGTGCGATAGCATCTTAGGTTTTACATATTTCCAATTTTTCTATGAGAGCATAATTCTGTTCATAATGAGAAAAAAGGCTGCTTTTGTTTTTATTAGAAACTCCTACAGAGTTCCCCTTATAGTTAGTATGTAGAAGATTGGGGAAAACCTTTGCTTCTGAAATAGCAGTAAGAAAACAGTGGATAAACAAAGAAAAATTCTATTTTTCTTTAAAGTTATCACACAGATATAGATCCAAATAAGTCCATAGGAACTAATTTACAGAGAGGGATGAGCTCCTCCCCAGTTAACAGAGAGTGGTAATCACTTTCACTACTGACAGCATCTGCCAAGTCAGGACACAGACAAAGGACTGAGCTTGCCAAAGGAGAAGCCAACTAAAATTTCAATGGCCATGCACAGACGACAGGAATCGAAGAAGCTGCAAGCACAGAGCTCCTCTTCACCAGTCAGTTTTAATACATGTCTTTAGCTGAGTACATGTTAGCATAGGAAGTCCTGGGCAAGGCTGGAAAGAAATAAGAATATGCAGTCTTGCCATATTTGTATCTGAAAGTTCTGATAAGGTAGGGAACTGACCCTCCCTGAAACCTGAGTGATGTGACATTAAAGCACCAAATTATCACCTTTCCAACTCAAATCCTAAGGGCAGGGAAAGGATCAGCTCCTCAACTTGGCAAATAGAGAAAAGAGTTGGTCTTTCCAAAGAAAGTGTTATCTATTTTAATCTCTAATATTATTATATATACAACACCCACTATCCAATTAAAAAACAAGAGATATTCAAAGATGGAGGGGGAAAAAAATGACCCCATAATCAAGAGATAAAACAGTCAACAAAAGCAGGCCATGTTACATATTAACTGGACACAAATTATCGAAGACTTTAAAATGGAAATTATATAGCTAAAAAATAAAGGATCTGAAATGAAAAATTCATTTAATTGGATTAAGAGCAGACTCAAAGTCAGGGTCACATACATATTATCACTTGATTTTCAACAAAGGAGCCAATGTAAATCAATGGAGAAAGGAATGTCTCTGCAAAATGGTGCTAAAACAACTGAAAGAAATGTCTGTAGTAAAGGAATAAAAAGCAGCAAAAAGGAGCCAAACTGGTAAATATGTAGGTGAATATAAAATACTTCTTTTTATCCCTTCTAATTTCCTTTAAAAATCAACTTGATATCAAAAGCAAAAAATAACACTGAACTTTGGGGTTTATATATTTTTATTAAGTAAAATACATGTCAATAATAGTACAAACAACAGAAGTAGATGAATGAAACTAGAGTGGTGTAAAGTTCTTAAATTTTACATGACGTTGTAAAATATTACAACTTAAATAAACTTCTAGGTATAACATAAGTACAATGTAATCACGAGAATGCCAACTGAGAAAATAATACTAAGTGTTACTGGTAAAAGGCCAAGAGAGTAAACAGAATGAAACAAAAATTATTTGATTAGTCTAAAAGGCAGGAAAACAAACAGATAAAAACCAGAGAGAACAAATAGACAAACAATTGCAAAATGGTAGCCTAAAGCCAGTATCAATAATCCCTCTAAATATAAGCGGACTAAATTTTCCAACTAAAAGACAAAAATTGTTAGATTAAATAAAACCAAAAATATGCTGTCCACAAGAAACACACCATAAATATAAAGATTCGGATAGACTGAAACAATTAAAAATATATCATGTAACCAGAGGTAAGAAAGAAGATATGGTGATGTTAATATGAAATGCATTTTATAATTAGGGCAAATTAATTTGGAAGATGTATAATTCCAAATGTGTATCATCTAATAACAGAGGTTAAAGACACACGAAGCAAAAACTGACAGGACTAAAGGCACAAACAGATGACTCTAAAATCAGAGCTGAAAATTTTAACACTTATCATAACTGACAAAATAAGGAGATTTTAAAAAATCATAAAGAATTAAGAAGATGTAAACACTATCAACCACCCTGACCTAAATGACATTTGGAACACTATAGTATATACATTCTTTCCAACTATATATGGAACTCTTATCAAGATAAGTTACAAGTTATAGCATAAAATAATTTTCATAAATTTCCAAGGACTAAAGTCACACACACTATATGCTGGACTGTTAACAGAATTAAATTAGAAATTGATGAAGTATCTAGAAAATCCTCACACTCCTAAGAAAAACCCAAACTTCTAAATAACTCATGAATCAAGAAGAATTAGAAAATAAGTGATAATTTAAAAACAACATAAAATTTGTAATATAGAGCTAACATAAAGCTTAGAGGGAAATTTATAGCTTTAAATGTGTACATTATAAACAAATCAATGATCTAAATGTACACCACAGGAGGCTAGAAAAGACCAGATTAAATGAAAAGTAAGCAGACAAAAAGATGAATACAAACAAAACAGAAAAGAGACAAAGACAACAAAGACTACTGATTAATCCATTACAAGACATTCTAATAAAAAATTAAAAAGTCAAATTACTAACATTATAAATTTTAAAATGGATCTCACATATATGAAAGGAATAACAAATATCAGAAATAACTTTATATCAATACATTCTCCAGCCTTGGCAACCTGGTGAAATCCTATCTCTAAATAAAACACAAAAATTAGCCAGGTGCAGTAGCATGTACCTGTGGTCCCAGCTTCTCGAGAGGCTAAAGTGGGGAAGATTGCCTGAGCCTGGGAGGTTGAGGCTGCCGTGAGCCAACCAGGCCACTGCACTCCAGCCTGGGCAACGAAGTGAGATCCTGTCTCAATTAATCAATCCTATGACTTAAATGAAATGAACACATTTCTAACAAAATCCAAGTTTATCAAACACATACACAAAATTAAAAATGTAAATAATTCTCAATTTAAAAAACCTTTTCCTACAAGAGATGGTTTCTCTGGAAAAATCAAACTTTGTTTTGAATACAAGGTCTCGCTGTTGCCCAGGCTGGAGTGCAGCGGCGCAAACATGGCTCAATGCAACCTCCACCTCCTGGGCTCAAGTGACCCTCCCACCTTAGCCTCTTAAGTAGCTGGGACCACAGGTGAATGCCACTACCCCTGGCTAATTTAAAAAAAAAAAAATTTTTTTTTGTAGAGACGGGGTCTTGCTTTGTTGCCTAGGTTGGTCTTGACCTCCTGTGCTCAAGCAATTCTCCAGCATTGGCCTCCTAAAATGCTAGGATTACAGGCAAGAACTACCATGCCCAGCCCTATCAAAAATTTAAGAAAGAAATAATGCCAACCTTAAAGAAACTCTTCGAGAAAACAGGAGAAAGCCCTTTCCAACACATTTTATGATATTAAAACTAATAAACACATTACAAGGGAAAAAACCCTACAGACCAATCTCTCATAAACATAGATGGAAAAATTCTCAAAAATAAAACAATTCAAATCCATGAAACTATATGATCCTCTTTATAAACGCAGAAAAAAAATTTGACAAAATTCAACAGCCATTTATAAAACACAATTAGAACATTAAGAACAAAAAGGAAAAAGAACTTCCTCAATCAGATACAATCTCCAAAATATCCACAATTAACATCATACTTAAAGGGGGAATTGTGAAATGTGTTCTTCCTATAATCAGAACAATGCAAAAATGTCCATTCTTATAGCTTCAACAGTTTATTGTAGGTCTTAGTTAGGACAGAAAAAGAAAAAAGCATGAAGACTGGGGAAAAAAAGAAAAACTGTCAGCCGGGCACAGTGGCTCACGGCTGTAATCCCAGCACTTTGGGAGGCCGAGGCGGGTGGATCACCTGAGGTTGGGAGTTCGAGACCAGCCTGACCAACGTGGAGAAACTCCGTCTCTACTAAAATACGAAAAATAAGCTGGGCGTGGTAGTGCATGCCTGTAAACCCAGCTACTCAGGAGGTTCAGGTTACAGTGAGCTGAGATCATGCCATTGCACTCTAGCCTGGGCAACAAGAGTGAAACTCCTTCTCAAAAAACAATCAAACAAAAAAAAACTGTCCTTATCAACAGATGACATGGCTGTGTATGCAGAAAACCTCAAGAATCTACAGAATTCTAGAACCAAAAAGTCAATTTAACAAGAATGCAGGAGAAAAGAATATACAAAAATCAAGTATTTCCCATATCCTAGGAACAACTGGAAAATAAAATGTAAAAACAAAAACGTATAACAGCACTAAAAGTATAAAATACTAAAAAATTTATCTAATGAAAGACATGCTATACATCTACATCAAAAACTGTTTAACACATGGCAGAGAAAAGGCATTGTTATAAGACTATTATCCTGAAGTTGTCAAACCTGACCCCTCATTTTTGACAAAAATCTTACTTTCCTATTTTATAGAGCTGATCCTAAACCACAAAAATCAAGTGCTTCTGTGTCTGGATCTCAATTCTTCACTTTCCTTCACATCTTTGTGCAATCCACTATCTTCCTTTTTCTTAATGGTTAACTCCTCTTAACATTTTAACTACCTTCATACAGTGCTTATTACAGGTTAGAACACATAGATGCCTTATAAATATCAGTCCTATTAATACTCTATGAGTTAAATGCTATTATTGTCCCTATTTTACAGATTTAAAAACTAGGTTACCTAGCTAGCATATGTAAGAGGAACATTTCAAACTCAGATAGTCTAGCTCAGAGTCTCACTATGCTATTTTGATTATATGCATTTAGTTAAGAGGAGTAAGTCTTGTAAGTGGAGTGTATGGGAAAACTGTCTAGGAGTACAAAAAACTAGTAGTTTACAAGAAGAAAAAATTAAAATGTATTTTCTATTTATTTAATCTCATCCTTCAATTTCTAATTTTTGTATATATTTTTAAATGTACTTGAAGTACCTGTATATAACTTACAAATAATTAAGTGTACATATTAGTAGGATACTCTCAAAATCTTAATACTCACTGTATTAGCTTCCTAGGGCTTGCTCTAACAAAATACCACAAACTGGGTGGCTTAAAACAACAGAAATTTATTTTTTCAGAGCTTTGAAGGACCTAAGTCCCAAGACAAGGTGTCAGCAAAGCCATGCTCTCTCAAAGGCTCAAGGGGAGAATCTGTTCCATGCCTTTCTCTTAAGCTTTTGGGTTTCCCAACAATCCTAGGAATTGCTCAGCTTGCAGGTGCTAACTCCAGTTACCTGCCTCCATCTTCATATAGCACATTCCTCCCTATCTTATAAAGACACCAGTCATATAGAATTAGGGCCCATCGTACTTCAGTATGACTTCATCTTAAACAACTACATTTACAAAGATGCTACTCCCAAACAAGGCCACATTCTGAGGTATTGGAGGTTAGCACCTCATTTTATCTTCTGGGACACAGGCAGATTAAAAAACCCTTTAAGTCTCTTTGTGTATCTTGGACCAAGCACAGTGTATGTAGAAGATACAAAACTGAATTGTGAGTTATGAAATCCACATCTTATGATCTATTATATTCTATTTCTCTATATACCTGTTTGAACAAATATGTTCATAAAAATCATGACTTGAAAAGGGACTGATTATACAATACTACAAAGGTTAATCGAACTTATAAATTTCTTACGATGTCCAGCCTGATCTCTAATATCCACTATAAAGGAAGAATAAAGTCTTGACCAGCAAAATCTAAATCAAAAAAAAAAAGAAAAAAGTAACAAGTGCTTGTTCGTACACTTACTTATTATGCCTAATTTATCCTCTGGTTGCCCTTTTAAAAAATTTCAATTCATTATTTTTAACAGCAGGTTATGAAAGATGAATTTAATTATGTCCTTCCTTCTGGAAGGTATGAACCAGAGTTAGAGAGGTGGCCAACTTTGTTCTAAATTGGAGCCCTGCATCAGTCAGAATTGTTTCTTGCCATGGCCCCAAGAGAGAAACTGATATTGGGTAAGAGGCTGGCAGCCAAACTAACTGTTGGCATCTCATGAATCACATATTCCCATTGCCATACAGTAATTTTTAAACCTGTCATTCAGAAAGCCAGTAACACTGCTCCACTGAAACAGAAATATTAGGTTGGGTTCAAAGTTAGCCCCAACACTGCAATTATTTTAGCTGGCTGATTCAGCTTATTCTCCACTTTTGTACTTTGATTCATTTATCATACATAACGAATACTTGTATTATTGCTCCTCCTGTGTTTCAGTTATATTGCTGAATAGGTGTCTGTGCACTAAATTAGAATCCCTGCAGCCTTTTTTTTCTGGCTTATTTCACTTAACATACTGCTTTCAAGGTCCATCCATGTTGCCACACGTCATGCTATACTGTCATTCCTTTACATGGTTGAATAATTCCATTGCAGAAACATACCTCATTTTATTCATCCATTCATCATTTGATGGACATCTGAGTTGTTTCTAACTTTGAATATTAAGAATAATGCCTGCATAAATGGTCATGTACAAGTTTTTGAGTAGACATGTTTTCAGTTCACTTGGATACATAGCTGGCCACAATATGTTAACTCTGTATTTAACTTTTTGAGGAACAGGAAACTTTTCCAAAGTGTTGAACCATTTAACATTCCTACTAGCGATATATGAGGACTCCAATTTCTCCACATCCTCACCAACATTTGTTATTGTCCTTTTTTGATTATAGCATCTAGTAGGTGTGAGGTAGTATCTCACTGTGGTTTATGACGTTCAGTATCTTTTCCCATCATTCACTTTTAAATGTCACAGTAACAGCTGTCCATCACAGGCAAAAAAGAATATTATTGCTTCAAGAAGAGTGTCATCTAATTTTAGTAAAACATATGTGGAAAGTCAAATATTATTTGCATTAAGATGTATAACACGTTATTTCCAACGTTCATTAGATTATCTACCTTTCTTAGTTATCTGGTACTCCTAAACACCCAAATGTATGATTAGCTACAGCAGAAACTTCTTTACCTGGGAGTCCAAAAAAACGGATTTAAACAAGAGAATTATTGTAACCCCTCCCTCCCCCACCAATGTTAATCCACTTAAAAATAATTTAGATTATCATAACCAAGAATGCATTAGTGTTAAGATGTGGAGAAAGACTGATGGTATAATTTGTCAGGTTGTGATATTAAGGTGTCCAACAGTTAAGATACAGACAGGTAAAATGAATCAAACTGGACAATTACAATGACATCAAAGTGATTTCACTGGTAGTTTATTAGTTCTGCTGAGTTATACATTTTATTACGTAAGACGTGATTTAAAGCTTTAATTTTTTTCTTCATCACTTTTTGGAGTTGATAGCTAAGCATAAGAAATTAATCTACTATAATTCAAAACTCACTATTAGGTTAAAAAAGCAGTGAAAAGCTGATCCCCATCCTTCACCCCCAAATTCCTCTGAAAATCTGTTATTTGAGTAATTATGGTTTTTTATCACAGAGAGATACTTAGTCATAGGGTTACTAAAATTTTCAACAGAAGCAAATACTTAAAAAGAAATAAAAGTATGTGCATGTTTTCAAATTTTCATTTACTCTAATAAAAAATAACAATTATTCTGCAGAGTAGCATACGTTATAATTTTTCAGTGACAACATGGACCTCTTTGGTAGTTCAGATATGTTAAATCAAGATAGAAGATCATCTTTTTTGGTATGCGTCTCAACTTCTCTAAATTTAAGAGTAACATCTTTTGTGAATTTCAAACAATACAAGAAATGTATATCTAATAACTGAGGAATTTTCAAAGACATTTTTTTTACCTGTGTCCATACTTTGATTCAACTGTTGGTCACTTGTTTCTCCATCTTCACTGATATATCCAGGAGGTGGCGTTTCTACAAAAGTTTAAAACAAATCAAGCACAGCTGCAACATAATCTCACTACCTTTTCTCTCAGCTACCAGAGATAACCAATGAATCACTCCAAATAACAAATAATAATGTTATATAATATTATAAAAAGTAATATTGCATACTGAGGGTGTATAATTCAGGATCTTGTCCAAATTTTGCAGTGAATCCTTAACATCCACTTTTAATAAAATCCTACTCTCTGGACATACACATTATGTACGTATCTTGCTCATTCCTATATGTACATATTCTGGGGCAAGAGCCAAAAACGTAACTTTAAAAATGCCTCAGATCTGAATCAGTAGGCTGCAAAACCATCAGTAACTACAATTTTTTGTTGTTGTTGTTTAATCTAATGAACATCGTTATTTTATGAGTACTTAGAAAATTAAAAAACACACAAGATTTTGGATTATAAAAGTATTAAATAATACAGGCTTACAACTTACACTAAGTTCTATAGGGTAAAATATGGTAGAGTATGGTTCCGGATTGGTCCAGGCTGAATTCTATCTAAAAAGTGTGTTTCTCCAAGGATTCCTAACTGGTAAAGTCTAAGTGTTTGAAGCAGAAAATTCAATTCAAATATAGACTACTGTATAAAGAGGTAAAATGCTCCCTGAAAATAACCATTAGGATTCTAATATATTATTTCCAACATGTTGTCTGAATAAAACACTTATGTTCAGAAAGGTATCTGAATAGCTGAATAAACTGCATGTAAAATAAAAACATGTATACAATTTAATCAACTGTAATTCCAGGGAGGAAAAATAAGTTCAGAAGACTTTCATCAGTTTTACATTTACACTGAACAGTTTTGAGCGATTCAAGATAACAAAGACACATATCCAAACAATTTTAAAATTATCAAAAGAACGAGGCCAGGCGCGGTGGCTTATGCCTGTAATCCCAGCACTTTGGGAGGCCGAGGCAGGCAGATCACCTGAGGTGGGGAGTTCGAGACCAGCCTGACAAACATGGAGAAACCCCATCTCTACTAAAAACACAAAATTAGCCGGGCATGGTGGTGCATCCCTATAATTCCAGTTACTAGGGAGGCTGAGGCAGGAGAATCATTTGAACCCAGGAGGTGGAGGCTGCGGTGAGCCGAGATCACACCATTGTACTCCAGCCTGGGCAACAAGAGCAAAACACCGTCTCAAAAAAAAAAAAAAAAAAAAAAAAAGAGGAAGAGAAGATACAGGTTAAGGGTCTCCTTCAATAACCTTTTACAATATCTATTCAATAAACTAACCACAAACTTTAAGTATCAAACTTTTCATTTAAGTGTCAGTACCCCCAAATTTTTAAAACAAAAATTCTAAGAATAAATTATCTTCATATACTCAAAGAACATAAAAATAAGGGTACATATTATGCATATTTTAAAAGTTAAAGCTAATAAAGTTAAACGGCGCTAAGCTTTTTGAGTTTAACCTGTATTTCAAAGATCTAATCAGAAAGAAATGCTGAACCTTAAAATACGTTATCTTACTGTGTTTATTTTTTCCATTATTGTAATAAATAATAAAGCTATTAGCATTTTTGAGAAAATGTTAAAATTTCTTTTAAGTGGAATAAAATGTGAACCCTTTGGTTTTGCTGTTGCTTGAAACCGGATAAAGCCCCACTGTCCAGAAAAGCAAATGGGTATAATCCACTTCTGATTTTCTACTTTATAAAATACTCAAATCTCAATAATTAAAGGAATAAAAAAGAAAGGAAAAATGAGCCCAAACATCTTCACAAGTGAAAGCCACTAAACATTCTGGTGAATAGCCTTCCAAATAATTACTGGATATGCGTGTTGTCCCTAAGACTGCATGTTTATACCTAAGGTTAGTATTGCTGGCTGAATAACAGTAATTCCCACACTAACGACTTAAAATGCCTCCCCTTCCCCACACCAACGTTCACACAACTCCACTCCCTTTTCTACCTAGCAATTGCCCTGTTTCATAGTCCCGGGTTTTCCCTCCTCCTAGTGTTATCATACTACATCCCACCCTCTCCCTCTCTTAACTTCAGTAAGTTTGTATTTCCTAGCAACCCATAAAGCAGCTTTAAATCCTCTTCTGGAATAAAACAGTAATCAAAGAAATATACATTAAAACAATCAAAAACCACTTCCCATTTGTAAAACCAGCTATTTAAAAAAAAAACTTATCTTTCTTAGTTATCTTTTCTTTTTTTTCTTCCTTACATTTAAAAAATTATCTTCAATGAATAAGCATTATTTCCATGATGGATACATGAAAGAAATAATTGTTTAAATGTACTAAAACTGTATTTTAAGAATTTTGTAAATGCTCTTAAGTTCCTTACATATTTTTAGTGTATAAAATAAGAGTGGAATAAAAGAATATTACAAAAGGAAGAAAGAAATCGAGACACTACAGCTTAATCCTCATCCTAACATCATGCTGTTTCTGCTAGGGAGAAAAATCAACCAAACAAAAAGGAAAACATACAAGAAAAGTAACAAAGTATTAGTTGTTCTCCAAAAAAAAAAAAAAGAAACCATAAAAAACGAAAAGGCCAGATATCATATCGTGGAGTATTACTGGATCACATAATACATCAGAACAAAATTTGAGAACCATGTAGCTGAATTCAATTTTCATCAGAAATTACTGAGATGCAGACGAAACATAATTAAAGGAGGTTTTCTGACGTTCGTGTTATAATATGTAAGTGTTGCTATGTCTATAGAACTAAGTATTATATTTCTTATAGAAATGTTATATTTCTGTTAAATATTACCAAGTTATCTAAGAAAAAGTGATCATTGGGTGGATATTCAGTTACATGTGTTTGGGGGGTACTTTTCTCCTACACCATTTGTTTTGCTTACATTCTGCATCTCGCTTAGCTTCAACAACTAAGACAAACTTACTAAGATCTTTTCTTTTCTGCTTCTCACAGTACTTTGATTAAAGTCACTGCAAAAGAAAATGAAATATAAAGTAAAACTCTTCTCCAAACAAAACTGTTTAATGTACTAGGCTTATACATTTCACAAAATAATCACCCAACGAATCCAATTTTTCTATTAAAAACTCAAAAGCATTTTTAAAAAAGTGAAACCACAATTTACTAAAACTTGAATGCTTATGAACAAAATTTGTATCTATCCAAGTTTTAGGAGATTCAGAAGGCAAAAATACCTGGAATATAATTACTCTGTGGCTCAATTCCTGCTGGGAAGTTAGTGTTTTCTGGAATGGAGTGAGTATAGTCATCCAGAGGCGGAAGTTCTGTTAGGATCTCGGTGTGTCGGGGCACTAATACTGGAGGCAAAACTGAAAAAGTTCAAGAAATCCAAGTTAATGGCAAAGAGCAAAGGGGAGTGGGGGAACCTTTTTTAAAGTTTTCAACAAGAAGAGAAGTTGTAGCTTAATTTTTAAAGCTAGGGTCCACCTACTCGATATATACTAGTTACTGAGAAAATGACAAATCTGATTATGGCTCTAACTTAGGTAGTCTATTATCCAAATTTCCAAGTTCTAATTTATCTCAAACTTTTGGGAACAATGTGATCCTGGTAATATTATATTACCATAAAAGTTCATAAATCCCCATTGGAAAACTTAACATTGTCTTTATCTGTAAAATCAGATATAGGAAATTTTCCAAAAACGCAGCTACTGCTATATTTTTTAATAGTTTCAGGTAGACAGCTAACTAAATGAAAAGTCTTGTTACAAGCTTTACTAAACGGTGTACATACAAATGATGTCATTAAAGTACTTCTAAAAGCACTCCAAGTGCAAAATGCTTGAAAATGTTACTGCAGCAGGGACATGTAGAAGCACATCAGCATAGCGCTGAGCAGACTGCCAATCTACAGGATTTCCTGGATATGCACTTTCATGCCAAATCATATGCTATTCCAAGAAACAGATATGTTTTCTCATTAAAAATTTTTAAAAATAAAAAAATTTTAATTACCACCAAATAATATGCACAATTTAAGGTAATTTATTAGAATTTACACTAAAATTTTCCTGGGTCACAAGAGTACTTAAATATACTGAAGTTCAGGCATTTAATTCAAAACCAAGAAAAAAACTTGCAATATTCCTACCTGGTGTCTCAACTCTCTGATAGTGGTAAGGGTTTACACATACTTCATCCTTTTTAAGATTAAAAGCATATTCGCAGTTTTCAATTGCCTTGAGTTCATGATGACTGTGAAGATCAGGCCAGCGCCATAATCGGCAATATATAACATGTGGCAATCCTTTTCGATGGGATACCTGGAGACGACCATCAAGAGACCTGTTGGGAAGCAAGGGGAAAAGAAAGGAGGGAACTTTAAAAAAAAAAAAAAAAAAGTGCAGTCAAATGGGCTAAATTAGTACAATAAAAGCATAAAGAAAAGAATGACAGCCATTTAGTTAGTTTTAGTGAGAATCAAGAACAAAAATGTACTATTTAATGGATCTGATAAAAGTATGCAGCAGCACTAGCAGATGTTTCTTATAAATATGTCACATAAATGACTCAAATGCCAATGAAAGGCTAACAACTTGGGAAAAACTGATTTTTTAAAAAAGAGAGTTTATGCAGTTATACTTGAAAAACTTTGTCAACTTCTATGTTTAGTAAATCAAACTCATTTTAGAGATGCTTCTAAGGATATTAATTCTGGAGGTGACTGAAGAGTCAGAAAAGGAACTAGTGTGAAGAATGATAAATACCAACAATGATGTGATAGTAACTTCCTCAGACTACTGCAACTCTTTACCCAGTTGTGACTGTTTTGAGAACTGAGGTATATTTATGTAGTTCACAAATAAATGTGGATGGTGATGAATATGATGAGATGAAATGAACAAATACCATATACGCAAAAAAGAAAATGAAGTGATTAAAAAAAGTAACATAAAAATGAGTTAACCTACTGTTAATTGTGATATAAGGGGTTCATTAAGTATGTATTTATTAGTATAAAGATGAGATTCTGATAACAAGAAATTTAGCAAAACTCATCATGTATCTACTTAAAAATTAGGCCAACAACAGATTATAATCTGATCTCAAGCTAAAATAAATATATAGTTATCAAAATTATTATTCTTTAGGGGATACAGTAATTTAAAGAAGATTCAAACTAGAATTGCATTGATTAAAACATCAGCTGAAACATTTAATATATTTTTTATACTGGCAAGCAGATATTTTAAATGCTATGCCTTATTTTACATTAAGGAAACATCCTAGGCAAAATTATACTAAGCAACCCCATATAGGTCTTTCAAAATATACCCCCCTCCCACAAGATCTCTAAGATTCGACAGAGGGCAGAATATTCACCTGGTTTGTTCAGAGAAGCTGTAAAGGCCTGTTGTATCCCACTGATCTATCGTATTTGGTGTACTCAGTCCCCAAATTTCAGAGCAAGTGCTGTGCATAAATTGAAAAACAAAAAATTGATGTGAACATGGAAGCATGGTTATTCAAAATACCATGATGTAAAACATGGAGAATGTACAGAATACTTCCTTCACCCAGAAAATATACAATTGCTTCACTTTTTCACAGGCATGTAGTGCTGGTTACTATATTTTCTATATGAAGGAAGCCAATAAAATGGAACATGTGACTCCAGATAAGTCATGATTATGTTTTTAAAATGTGAACACCAACGCCCTCTAGCTCAATGAATCATACCTATAATGCCCTTACCACTTTCCTGTATTCAAAAGATCTAAAACCTCTGCCATCAGCTTTACTAAGTGCTTCATTTTATAATCCAGTTTTTTAAAAAATTATCTAAAAACAGATGTCAACTGATTTTTAATATAGAAAAAAATCCCAATAAAAATAGACATGCATCCACAGTTAAGATTTTCAGGTTATCTGGTCATGATATTTTTAAGTTTTACTGAAAATTATTTTGTTCTCATCTCTAGAATAAATAAAGAAATAGACTTTGAAGTCATTCTAATTTAGTATACCACCTTAAAAATTTTCTCCCACATTTCTCTCCAGAATATGGGCAGCTCAGAGATAATTCTCCCTTTTTCCCTACCTTTATTTCATTTCATAGTAACTTCTGGTCAGTGAGAGAAGGGAAAGAGAGCTTAAAAGGAAGTTTTGGAATGGAACTTTGACAGCCAATGTCTCAAGTACTAAGTTGTACTTTTCTGAAAAGTCCATTTCTTACATATTACAAAATCATCAAAACTTCAATGCGGATAAAGGAGTATTTCAAAACATCTTTTGAAAATGAATCAAGCAATTGATTAAATTTCATATTTACACATTGTTAGTGAGCTTAACTGGATCAACAGTTCAAAGGGCAATGGTGAGAAGCGCTGGCTTCCTGTGGCCAGGCAACAGAACCACCTGGCATCCTTGGCTTTAGTACTACAGGTGCTGTCACATAGCTATCAGGCTGCAGGAACACATCATGCCCTGCTTTGGGGGCTACAGTGACCCGACAGTTCAAAACAAAACCTGTTCTGAAATTTTCCAGCATCTCATTCAAGTATTTTATAGATTCTCTTGCTTTTTCAGGCTGCAAAATTTACCAGACTATAAAAGCCAGAAAAAGCCAGGTAAATTAAGGCTTAGACCTTTCCCTTTTTTCCAAAGATATACTGATTTAAAAACCATGACATTAATGGTTTATTTAAAAGATATTTTCAAATATCTATTGGAAACATATAGCATGATGTAGTTTAAATCACAACAGAATCACCTCAATTCTACAGACTTCTGAGTCTATTAAAGAAATGGTATACAGGAGACTATTCTTTGAAAATAATTAACAAAAGTGTAGCACAAGAGGCTATTCTGCTCTGTATCAGAACATTTCACTCAAGTTATTCTGGGACTCACATGAGAACCAGAATCTAAAATAGAGCATGAAGTTTACATTGTACTTTATTTAATCCTTGAAAGGAATCAGAGAAGAATAAACAGTAATTGTTAAGAACTTGCAATCAATCTAGAGGCAGACAGATCTAGACCCCAACCCTAATTCGGCCACTTTCCAACTGCTGCCATAGGGTATATTTAAGCCTCAGTTCCATCATTATCATGCCTAACAAAATTGGAAGGTTTATTTTAAAACATTAAATTTGCTTCTAGCTAGTAAAATCATTGCCTGTTTACATAATAAAAAATATTTTTTAAAATAAGCCAATTTATAATAAAACATAGAGCCCTCTGTATCCAAGGGTTCCACATCCTTGGATTCAACCAACCGTGGATCAAAAAGTAGAAAAAATAAGTAAATTTTTAAAACTAAAAAATACAACAATTGAAAAATACAAAATTTAAAAACAATATGGTATAACAACTATTTACACAGCATTTACAATGTATTACATATTATGCATAATATAGAGATGACTTAAAGCAGGAGTCTCAGAGGCCACAGACTGATACCGGTCCACGGCCTGTTAGGAACCAGGACACACAGCAGAAGGTGAGCAGCAGGGGAGAGACCATTACCACCTGAGCTCTGCCTCCTGGAAGATCAGCAGTGGCATTAGATTCTCATAGGAGCAAGAACCCTATTGTGAACTGCACATGCGAGGGCTTTAGGCTGGGCACTCCTTAAGAGAATCTAACTAATGCCTGATGACTGAGGTGGAACGTCTTTATCCCAAAACCATTGCCGCACCACCACGGTCAGTGGAAAACTTGCCTTTCATGACTCTGTCTCCTGGTGCCAAAACGGTTGGGAACAGCCGATTTAAAGTATGAGAAAATGTGCATAGGTTATATGCAAATACAATGCCATTTTATTTTTAAAATAAGGCTTACTGCGGCCTTGACCTCCCAGCCTCAAGTAGTTCTCCAGCCTCAGCCTCCTGAGTAGCTGGGACTATAGGCGTGTGTCACCACGATTGGCTAATTTTAACACTTTTTGTAGAGACAAAGTCTCTTGAGTCCTGGACTCAAGTGATCCTCTCACCTCAGCCTCCCAAAATGCTGGGATTACAGAAGTAAGTCAACGTGCCCAGGCTTACAATGCCATTTTTTATCAGAACTTGAGCATCCACTAATTCTGGTATGAGTGGGAAATCCTAGAACCAATCCCCCTTAGATAGTGAGAGTTGTATAAGCAGCATCTAGATAAATGTAATTAAAACTGTGTCAAACTATACAAAGAAACATTTTAAACATAACTAAAGAACACAAAAGTGCACTGAGCAAAAAAGAAAAACATACGTCCCTACACAGGAAGATACCATCATAGAGGTATTAACTCTACCAAATTTATATATTTGATGCAATCTCAATAAAAATAAATGTTTTAAAAATCCAGGTATTAGTCCAAATACTGTAATAAGCCAAAACAAATAAGTATGACCAGAAAATTCTAACAAATAGTAAAGACCTGTCCTACCAGATTCTGAAGCACATAATAAATTCTCAATAATTAAAACAGTATGCAATTAGTAAAAGAATACACAAAACAGAATGGAGGTTCTAATTCCAGTAATGGCAGAGCAGCCTCAATTAGGCTAACTTTCCTTCATATAACAATGATAAACTCTGAACAAAATAATCAACTATTTGAAAATAGCAGACACAGATCAAAAACAGACAAAAGCTGAAGGGAGGTCCAACTGTCAAAGCTGCAAACTGTACTGGATGAGAGCTGCATTTCTGTGGCTGTGTACCCAAGGGCACTCCCCAGCCACAGCTAGGCAGGGCAACTAGAATTCAAACAGAACACTGCAGGGGGGTTGTTTTTAGAAAACTGCAGTTTTACTGACCTAGAATCAGAGGACACATTTGGGGCTGCCAGAGAGTTTGAAAAAAGAAGGAAGATACCCTGTAAAGAAAGAGGCACAAGGGAAAAACATCAACAATGTGACTGTGAACTCTGCCCAAACTCAACTTTGCTCAAAGATATTTTTTAAAAGCTAAGTATATAGAGATACAGCATATTCACAGATGAGTCAATATTAAGATGTCCATCTGACCTAATTCCCTAATGATTGTTGCCTATTTGTTTTATATCTATTACAGTGACCATTTCAGCAAAAATATTTTTGTAGCAACTGACAAGCTGATATAAAATGTATATGGAAATACTAAGGATCTTGAATAGCAAAACAATCTTGAAAAAGAATTACTGACCCATGGATGAATCTTGGGAATATTCTGATCAAGAGAAGCTGAACACTAAAGTATCTACACTGAATGACTCCACTTATACGAAGCTCTAGAAGTGGCAGAACAAATTCAAAGTGAAAAACAACAGTAATTGTTTCCAGAAGAACCGCTAGGAAAGAGTATGAAAGAACTTTCTGGATGATTGAAATTTCTTTATCTTAAAACACTGGTATATGCATTTGTTGAATCTAACTAAACTGAATATATGATTTGTGCACTTCACCTATAAAAAATTTACCTGAAAAAAGGAAAAACACAAAAGAATGCAAAGAAAAGTAAAAACCAAAACAGAAAAAGTCCCAACAAAAAATTCATAGAACAATTTAGCATATGATGAAGGCACCCTATGAACTGATATGGAAAGGTCTAAAATATGCTACTCCCTGTATTAAAAAAGGACAGGTAAAAAGATCTGTAATTACTCACTAATATATGCATAAAGACACACATACATCATGGACAGTAGTTACTTGAGGTGCAGAGTGGGAAGGGAGAGGTTCCAATGTATGTGTATATGCATGCTTGTATGTGTATACATACATAAACATACGTATTTTTGAGCCATGTGAATGTATATTGCCTTTCACCAAAATTGTAAAAATAAAACAGAAGAAAATATTGCCAGAGAATAAAATGCAAGTCAATGTCATCTTGACACTTCTATAAAAAGATATGGTTCTAAAACATTAGAGGCACATTACTTCCTATACTGCATCATTTAAAGCGCAGTTTGGGCATTACTATAAGAGACAAATAATAACATGCCAGCCTGAGCCCTGATCATTCTTTTCTCACACAATGTCCTTTCTGTCTCACATGAACCTTTGGTACCAATTTTCTTCCATGTGCAATTTATGTTAACTGCCCCTTCCTAGCCACCTTTTAACTTTACTACTAATTCTTTAATAAGTCTAACAAACGAGGTCAATTTTTAAGATGCCTTTGGTAGGTTTTAATGAGGCAGTTTTAATCACCCACTCTTCCTTAAAGATTCTGTCTAACCACAATGTATTTCCCAACAACACCCTGAGCTCCCAAAGCCCTTTGTGTACCACCCAGCAAACAACATATTTGGTGACCCAACTGGTATTTTCATAGTACAAAAGTGGATTATAATATTCCTTATCACATTAAATCATAACATCCTAAATAACACTGGGGAAAAACTGTATCTCCCAGGTTTTCATTTTGTTAATAAAAAGTGTAAGTTATAACTTCTAGGTATGGCCAGTTTCTAAAAAATATTAAAAGAAACAAATGCAGGAAAAATTTTAGAGAAGTAGCACTGATTATAACAACTATATAAAAAGCTTTTTACACATTCAATAAATTTCACTAATCTAAGATTATCTACTTTAAAATGCAACATTATTTGTGTAACACTTGAAAATCCTCTTTCAATTTTATTTATAAGGGGCATCTCAAAGTGAAAAAAATGTGCATCTTACAAACAAATATTTAATGACAATTGTCTTCATAAGCTAGCTACTTTATATCAAGCACTGTGTAAGACTAAATGGATTAGGGACCTCAAAGTAACCTGCAAGTTATGTAAAAATAGTATCCATCACCTATTAAATTGATGTTAATTGGAATTTTGTGGGTTATATAACTGAGTATAAATTTGTCTTTTGGTTAGCGTTAAGTTTGCACTTAAGTATGTTTCTATACATTTAAATAATATTAAAGGAAGTCCACAAGAAATGTCTGTACATTACTCAAATGTGAAAAACAGAAACCTGTACAACATCAAGCTGTTTACAAAGTACTAAGGATAGAAAATAGGTCTGAAAATGTTAAACTAAGACTACTTGCTATGTAAAATCAACATATCCTAAAGAGATTATTAAGTTATTATAACAATGATAGCAATATCCCAAACACATTGGCTCAACATTTCCTAAATTTATTTGACCATCTAACTTCAGGATATTCTTAAAACTCTCATGTATTGAAAAATATCAGCAAAAATTGGTCTCATAAATTCTGCCTGAACAAATTTGATACTGTTTACTAACAAATTAATGTGAAATATTACAATATGTTGAAATAAGATGTAGCAGACCATTAACTAACTACAATGATGTCCCTGCATCAATATACAGATGAACAAGCATACGTATGTTATCTCACGCAAAGTCCCAAAGTTCTTTGCATGGAACAGTTTCTTAAAGACAGATTATCCCCCATCAACTGTGTAATGTTCTTGCTTATATATCTAGCTTAAATTAAAAAGAGGTGGGGAGGAGAGGCAAAACAGCTATTAAAGTCATAAACATACTAATATAGCAACTACCTTTGTTGGCATACAGTATATTAATCACTAAACTAACAGGATGACTTGGTAATAAACCTAATAGAAATCCTTATCAAATTTCCCTAGTAATAACTTTTACAATAAGTATTTCAGTAAAACACATCAAAGATTTTCTTCATCTAAGAATAAGCTGACTTTTGAAAACTGAAATTAAAATTTAATATCTAGTGTACAATTTACAAAGTATACACTCGCCTACATATATACACATCTAAATTAACATTTTGCACTTTGTTCCAATTATCCAGATATTATGTTTGGTCAATTTACTACTTTTTTTGCGTTAAGGATATAGATATTTATTCACATCTTTGTTATGGAGAAAGAAAAGAGAAGCAGTGAAAATTAAGTTGAAGAAAACACTACCAACTTTGGGCAAAAGGTGGCTCGCATCACAGAATCTGGTAACCCTTTAAACCAGTTTTACTGTTCCTACCATATCTGCAAGATTTACTGCTGCAGTTAGACAACCAATAACAAAAGTAATAAACCCCATTGTTTTACTAATTTATTATTTTTCATGATCTTCTTGCCTAAACAGTGTATTTTTTTTTTTTTTTAACAAATCAAAAGGGATAACAACCTAAGTTGCCACCTTGGTAAGATTAAAAGCATGCTGAACACTCAGTAAAATTAGTCAATTAGCAGAATATTATCAACAAAAGGAACTTTCCTAAGGCTCCAGCTCTTGATTACTGATCTACTCATTTAATACAGACTTCTAGGGGAGTAATCTGTAACTATGCATCCATAATTATTTCTACTTAAAATAATCCTTTCATTTTTATATGTGACTTAAGACTAAAAGTTTAGATTTAAACAGCTCAGGAATGAAGAGTTAATCACTGTAATAATTTTTTTAAGTCTCCATAATTACAAGTACTATGTGTGGCTGTATATTTTATCTTGACTACAAATATAATTGAAAGACACAAAATAGATTGTAGTATTCAATTACAAATGTTTAAATGTCATTTATCACATCACTGA
Source organism: Homo sapiens (assembly GCF_000001405.40). NCBI lineage: Eukaryota > Metazoa > Chordata > Mammalia > Primates > Hominidae > Homo > Homo sapiens. Next base: position 47,877,607 of record NC_000018.10, read on the forward strand.
AAACAATGTGACTACTTTGATTAAACTTAAATTTTTAATCAATGATTAAGAATGATAGCCTTTTATTTGCCTCAGAATCCAGTCTCTTCCCCATATTTTATTTGCAAAATGTAGACAATCCTGATTGAGAAATAAGTAGGTGCAAATGATTTTTTAAGTTGCTGCATTACAGATGCAAAAAACTGTATCTCTTGAAAATTTGAGATATTCCTGAATAAAAATTGAAAATATAAAAGAAATATATTAAGAAATTTATTTCAAAAAGGTTGAATCATCAACAATAGCTAATAAGTGCTCACATTCCTTCATAATTAAGGCATAATTGGGCAGTAATTAAATCTGGAGACAGTTTAACAGGGTCCTTAACTGGCTTAAACCTTCACTCTGTGTAGAAAATGTTTTTCGATTTTATCTTGTAGCAATGAAATAGTAACCATTCAAAAACAAACAGTCACCAAATGTGCATTCCGGTATGTCAGGGTTTCATTCTAAGTTTCAAATCAGAACAGAGCATGTCTACATTCCAGATACCCAAGCTGTACAGAGCTCTAAGTAGAGCTCACCACACAATGGTGTGGTACTGTTATTTGTATAATTTTATAAGAACACACATGAAACAGAATTTTAAAAAATAAACTAATACCAAGTCTTCCTAATCGGTAACATAGTAAGTCCAAATAATGTCCAGATATGTGAGGAATAGCTTTATTCCAAGGTCTTTGATGCTCATGTAATAAGTACAATTTTAACAACTAATTCTATTACAAAAGACTGCAGAAAGCTCTGTACAGCTGGATCCCTATACGTTCTTAAGAATCAAGCAAACAGCCTGTGCAACAAAGTGAGACCCCATCTCTACAAAATAATTAAAAAATTAGCCAGGCATGGTGGCATGTGCCTGCAGTCCCAGCTATTTGGGAGGCTGAGGCAGGAGGATAGTTTGAGTTCAGGAGTTTCAGGCCACAGTGAGCTATGACGCACTACTGCACTCCAGCCTGGGTAACCGTGAGATCCCATCTTAAAAAACAAAACAAAACGAAAGAATCAAGCAAACTTTTGGAGAGGAATATCTCAGAAAAGAAAAACTCAACAGTTTCTAAGTATTTATTCCAACTTCTCAGATACTTCCATGAACAAGCTTTCCATCTTCTCCTGAGTTCTGTATGATAAAAAATTTCAAACATCCATTAAAGTTACGAGTAAGCACCCTACACATTGATCAGCTAAATTCTGTAATTTGGATTTGTTTTCTTTTGCTCTCTCATGTATCTACTTAACCTCTCTATCCATCCCTTACTTTTTGGAACATTAAAAATAAGGGTGTATGTGGGCAGCCTGGGCAACATGGTGAAACCCCGTCTCTATCAAAAATACAAAATATTAGCTGGGTGTGCTGGTGCACACCTATGCTCCTAGTATTCAGGAGGCCGAGACTTGAGCCCAGTAGGTGGAGGCTGCAGTGAGACTGCACCACTGCACTCACTCCATCTTGAATGACAGAGCTAGACCCTGTCTCAGAGAGAAAAATAAAAGCTGCAGATAACACAAATCTAGACACTTAAGAATGCACATAACTAGAGTTCGCTGTTCTTTTTTTCTTTAGGTTAAATTTACACAGCATGAAACACACATCTTAATGGTACCATTTGAGTTTTCTCAGATGCATACATTGTACACTTCTCAACCCTGTCAAGATCATCACCCATGTCCATTTCTCAATGTCTGGCATCCATGCGCTCATCCCCAGAGGCAACCACTAATCTGATCTTTTCACCATAGGTGTCGTGTCTTCTGGAAAGTCTATGTATGAATGGAATATGGTACATATTCTTTTGGGTCTTTTTTGACTCAGCATGATTTTGAGATTCATCCATGTTAATGTATATGACGTGTGTGTGTGTGTGTGTGTGTGTGTGTGTGTGGAGTCGTTTTCCATTACTTGAACAAGCATGATTTATTTAGTCATTCTTATACTGATAGACACCTGACCTGTTGCCAGGTTTTAATTATTGTGAATAAAGTTGTCATGAACATTCAAGAAAGTACATATCATTATATAGAAATATGATTTCTTTTTTTCTCGGGTAAACACCTAGAAGTGAAAATCTTGAGTCAGTGGATAGATGCATGTTTAGCTTTTCAATAAATTGCCAGATCATTTTCCAGAGTACGATTTTACAGTCCTCCCTCTTTCAATGTATGAGAGAGAGCTCCTGGTTATTCCAAAGCCTCATCAACATTTGGTGTGGTCAGTCTTTAAATTATAGGTAGTCTGATGATTGTGCAGTGGTATTTCATTGTGGTTTCAATTGTCATTTTCCTGAAGCCTACCGATATTACACATTTTTCCATTTCTTTACTGGACCTTTATCTTCAGTGAAGTAGCCAACTACTGTCCATTTTAAAATTAGGCTATCTTTACATTACTGAGTTATAGAAATCTTTATAAATTCTAGATTCAATCCTTTCAGAAATGTTTTGCAAATATTTTCTCCCACTCTGACTTATTTTTTAACAATGTATTTTAATAATATGTTTTGTATACCAATGGAGTCTAACTTAGCAGCTTTCATGGTCACTGCTTTCTATATACTTTGAACAATTCTCTGTTTACCCCCAAGTCATAAATATTCTCCTATATTTTCTTATAAAAGCTTTATAGTTTTAGCTTTAATTAGACTACAATTTATCCAGAAATATTTTGTTTTCACTGGTGTAAGGTGGAGTCATGTTCATTCTTCCACATGGATATTCAGCTGTTCCAGCACCATTTGTTGAAAGACTTTCCTTTCCCTACTGGGTTGCTTTGGCAACTTTGTTGAAAATCATATAGGCACACAGTGTTTATCTATGTGGGGCTATCTTATCTGTTTTTATGTCAGTATCACACTATACAGATTACTATGGCTTCAAGGTGAGTCTTGAAGTCAGGGTAATTTAAGTACTCTAACTTATTACTGAGTTTTCCAATTCACAAGTGTATCCATCAGTTTACTGCATGGTAATTCCAACATGTAGGTCTTCTAGGGTTGGTCTCCTCATTATAAAGGGTCACATTTTCTTTGTTCTTTGTATGTTAGGTAATTTAGGATTGTATGCTAGACATTGTGAATTTTATCTGATGGTAGTTAGAGGTTCTGTTACAATCTTCCAAAAGTCTTCATTTTTGTTTCACCAGACAACTAACCTGGTTGCATTCAAACCACAAACTCTGTCCTGGAGCAATTCAAATCAGGCTGATTATCTGGCTGTACTGTCTACCGTACACATGTGGGATCAGCAGGTGATTTTGGCAAAGTTTGTAGGCAGAATCCAGGGCTCTCTTTCTGAAACTCTCCTTGCTGATATTCACTCCTCACTCTCCAATAGTTGTGATTCTCCCAAGTCTTACCTATGGTGCTTCAAGGCCAGAAAGACTTGGTTTTGTGTTGGAATTTTACCTACCCTGCACACTTTGCATGGACAAAAGCTGTAAAACAGAAAATTCGCCTACGCCATTTCCTTCTTCCGAGTGTCAATCCCCTCTAAAACATGCCTATTTTTGTTTATTCTCCAGTACTTCATGTTATTTTTAGAATTTTGTGCAGTTTGTTATTGAGGGAGTGTCAGTCTGGTAAGAGCATACCTGGCCATATGAGAATCACAACTCCCTCTTCATTTGTTTAACTTCTCTCAGCAAGGTTTCAGCATTTTAAGCAGAGGTCATTGTGTGTGTGTGTTTAATGTATTCCTAAGTATTTAGTACTGATGCTACTATTCATGAATTTTCTTAACACCCCTATTTGTCTGCTGCTAGTATTTACAAAAATACAATTGATTTTTAGACACTGAATCTATAAAGTGCAGCCTTGCTAAATTTACTCATTTGTTTTAGTGGCTATATTTATAGATTCTTTAGGATTTCCTACATAAATAAGCATGTCATCTACAAACAGAATTTTGAAACATTCCTTCAGATCTTTAAACCTTTTATATTTTGTTTTCCTGACTCATTGCGCTTGCTAGGTCTTCTATTAAAATAATAAGGACACAAGAGTAGACATCCCTGTCTTGTTCTTGAGGGAAAACACAGTATTTCATGATTAAGTAAATCCTTAGCTGTTAGTGTTTCTTAAATACCTTTTATCAGACTGAGAAAGTCTCTTTGTTTCTCATTTGCTGGGAATGCTTATCATGAATGGATGATGAATTTTGTCAAATGCTTTTGACCAAGTGAGGTGATCTTATAGTTTCCCTCCTTGGTTAATGCAGTAAATTACATAGTTTTTTTGTTTGTTTGTTTGTTTTGCCCGACAGGGTCTTGCTCTGTCACCCAAACTGGAGTGTGGTGGCGTGATCACTGCTCACTGCAGGTTCAACTTCCTGGGTCCAAGTAACCCTCCCACCTCAGCCTTCCAAATAACTGAAACCACAGGAATGTACTACCACGCTTGGCTTTTTTTTTTTTTTTTTTTTTTTTTTGTGGAGACAGAGTCTTATGTTGCCTAGGCTGGTTTCAAACTCCTTAACTCTCAAGCAATCCTACTGCGTTGGCCTCCCAAAGTGCTGGGATTAGAGGCATAAGCCATCGCATCTGACCTGATTAATTTTTCTTTTTTCGGGGGTGGGGGACAAGGTCCCAATGTCTCATGCAGGCTGGAGTGCACTGGTGCAATCATAGCTCACTTCAGCCTTGAACCCCTGGGCTCGAGTGATCCTCCTGCCTCAGCCTCTGAGTAGCTGAAACCACAGGGGCATGCCACCATGCCTGGGTGGGTAATTTTATCTGTCTATAGAAATGGGGTCTTGCTTTGTTGACCAGGCTGGTCTTGAACTCCTAGGCTTAAGCAATCCTCCTGCCTTGGCCTCCCAAAGTGCTGGGATTACAGGTATGAGCCGCTGCGGCTGGCTTACACTGATTACTTTTTGAAAGTTATAAACTAACCTTGTTGGAATAGAACTCAATTATGATGTATTCTTTTCTCATGTATGTTAGTGATATATTAATCTTTAACTTTTCTTTTAGTTGCATCTTTGTCAGGTTTTGGTTTCAGGGTTATGTGAGCCTCATAAAACAACATTTTTCTGAGTTTATTGTCTATAAGATTGGTGATATTTGTTGCACAAATGCTTAAATTTACCAGTAAAACCATGTGGGCCTGAAGTTTCCTTTGCAGGAAAGCTTTTGATTATGAAGTCAAATTCTTTCATTGTTATAGGGCTACCCAGATCTTGTATTTCTTCATGCATCAGCTGGGGGTAACCTAAATTTCATCATTACAGTTAGTCATCAAATTTAATGGCATAAAATTGTTTATAATATTTGCTTATAATCTTTTTACTGTCTGTAGGACCTACCATGACAATCCCTCTTTCAGTACCAATATAGGTCATTTGTGATTGTGGGCTCTCTGTCTTTTTCTTGATCAGTCTAACAAGCGTTTATCTCTCCAAAGAACTCGCTTTTGGCTTTCTGATTTCTACTCTTAATTTTATTATTTCTTCTTTCTACTTACTTTCTATTTTATCTTTTTAGGTAACTTTCTTTCCTAGCAGATTATTTAAAACTATAAAATTTTCCATTAGGCACTCTTTCAGCTACATCCCACATATGTGATATGCTGTATTTTCATTATAATTTGGTTTGAAATATATTTTACCTCATTTTTCCCCTGAATAACCCATAAGTCAGAATTTTAAGGTTTAATTTCCAATTCTTAACAGATGTCTTATTGGTATTAATTTCTTATTCTATTGGTGGCAGAGAACATACTTTGGATTTCAATCTTTTAAAATTGATTGAGACTTGTGCCCTGTAAACAGTCTTTCCTGGTGAAGTTACCATGAACACTTGAAACGCTTGTATTTCTACTCATGTTGGGTTTAGTATTCTATAAATATCACGTAGGTAGTTAATAATGTAACTTAATAATGTAACTTAAAACTTCTATGTCTTTACTGATTTTTTTGTTCTAATTGAACTCTCCAATTGTGGATTTGTGATTCTGTCCCATTAATTCTACCCAGTTTTGCTGCATGTATTTTTAAGTTCCTTTATTAAGCAGATACAATTTATTGTTATGACTCCCTGATGTTGGTGATTTAGATATATCACTTTACAATCTTCTCTGTTGCTGATCACCTGTCATTTGTATGCTGCGTGCCATTTTTCACCAGCTGCTTTAAGATTCCCTCTTTCATGAGTTTGACCATGATATATCTAAGTGTGGTTTTCTTTTTATTTATCCTGTTTGTGTTGAATAAGAAATCCAACTCCATTTCTGATACTTGACTGCTGATAGGTTTCAAGCCCCACCATTTCCTCTTCCCCTTCTGCCTCGAATCTGGGCAAGCTGGTAAGAAAGCCCAGGTGCTCCACCTGTTGATATTAGAGAAATTTCAAACCAGGCAAGTCTCAGCATATGTACAGTGTAAAAACCAGCCCACAGCCCCATTCCCTAATCACCATAAAACCCCAAGCCAGTCTCCTATCACTGCTCTCTCAAGTCATTTTTGGACCAACTTGGAAGCCTGCCATGCTCTACTCAGACAGCATCATTATGTGAGTAATAAACCTTTTCATGCCCTCTTGGTGCATGTAATATAGGTGACATCATCAGTTTCACTTCAAAATCAAATTTTATATATAAAATCCCATCCCACATATAGTTCACACTTATTAAGCACCAACTATGTACCAAGCTCTTACACATATTAAACCGCTTAATCCTTCAACAGTGCCATGAATCAGGCACTGTTGTCCCCATTTGACAAATGAGGTAATGGAAACACAAAGTAACACGTCTAAGGTCCTACAGCCAGCAAGTGGAAGAGACAGAGGCCACATTTTTAATTATTAACATTATTCCGCCCCATATATAGTTACTAAAAAGAAACAAGTAATATAAACATAGCAAATCAAAGCTAAAACAATAAAACTGGTATAATATCCCAGGTATGTAAAACATTTACACAACATGTTTAATTATAAAAACTGAAGATTTCACTGTAAGAGACATTTTCTCAGGAAAGAAAATTTCTTTGGACAAGTAAATTGAGAAAGCCCCTTCCAAATTAAAATAAGCAGCTTAGGTTTCCAAATATTAATAACTAAATAAAAAATAGGCGGAGACAACAGAACTTCCATAATCACACTCCTGTAAGTCACACAGTCCTATAAGAATAAAATTGACACTTCTACTCATCTTTGATATAGTATAGCCTTTCTTAGAAGAAGGACCAGGTGATGATTGAAAAAAACTTTCTCAATATTTTCCACCTCCACCTCCAAATGCTGTTATTAAAAACTCTACTCTGAGATACCGTTTGATATTTCTGCTGCCCCTGAAAAAACAAAGTATCTCCCACACACAAAATAGTCTCTACTACTGAAAAGATTTAAATATCAATTCTAAAAATGGTTGAAGTATTTCAAGCCCTTCCAAATACAAACTTTTTACTTAAAGAAAACAAAAGCTAACACTGAAAGGGTTCAGGTACATTTACTTTAATAACATAGCTTATCGATTTTCTAGATTTAGTCATATACACACACACACACACACACACACACACACACACACACACACACACACACATATACCCTCCCCCCCCAAGACAGTCTCTGTCACCCAGGCTGGAGTGCAGTGGCACAATCTTGGCTCACTGCAACCTCCGCCTCCTGGGTTCAAGCAATTCTCATGCCTCAGCCTCTCAGATAGCTGGAATTATGACACTTGGCCCAGCTAATTTTTATATGTTTAATAGACACAGGATTTCACTATGTTGGCCAGGCTGGTCTCGAACTCATGACCTCAAGTGACCCACCTGCCTCAGCCTCCCAAAGTGCTGGGATTAAAGGCATGAGCCACCGTGTCTGGCCAATATATACTGTTTTTAACAATTAAAAAGAAAAATAGTAACATAAATGACAAAATAAATATAAAATATAAGTACATGTTATTCTAATCTTAAAATAAGTGCATAAAATCTGGAATACATGGTTGGTCTCTGTATATGTGGGCTCCACATCCATGGACAGAAAATACTAGAGGAAAAACTAGATAAAATAACAATACAACAATGAAGAATACAGGCTGGGCATGGTGACTCACGCTTGTAATCCCAGCACTTTGGGAGGCTGAGGCAGGCAGATCGCTTGAGCCCAGGAGTTCGAGATCAGACTAGGCAACATGATGAAACCCTGTCTCTACCAAAAATACAAAAATTAGCCTAGCATGGTGGCACACAATTGTAATCCCAGGTATTCAAGAGGCTGAGGTGGGAGGATCACCGGAGCCCAGGAAGCAGAGGTTGCAGTAAGCCAACACTGCACTACTGCACTCCAGCCTGGACGACAGAGCCAGACGCTGTCTCCCCACTGCCTCCAAAACAAAGTATATGGTGGGGGATGTACATAGGTTATATGCGAATACTATGCCATTTTATATAAGAGACTTGAGCGTCTCCAAATTTTGGAGATATGGGGTATCCCAAGGATACCAAGGGATGACTTTACATCAACCATAAAACAATGATTACAATACAGAATGTGATTCCATGAAATTCAACTTTTTAAGTTATACAGTTTTATAATGCTTGACTTTGATTGTAAAAGTTTTTATAATCTGACAATTTTTGACAATTAGCATCCCACAAAATAAAAATCAACTCAAATCTGTATAGCACTCTGAATGTGATAAACTGCTTTTATGCATAGAGGTTATGTTTAGATAACATGTTAAAATGTTTAGGCAAATGTTTAAGCACATAGATTAATGTTTTATACCTGTGGATGCAAATTATATAAGGCATCATATAAAAATTACAGGAAAACCCTTTTAAATTACTTAACTTCATTATAAATTTGTGTTCAGTATCTCTCAATGTCCCTATCATCCTAAACATAAATATAAAACCTTCTTTCATTGCCCCCAAACCCCGTTGTCCTAGCAAATTTCAGAGAAACTATATCTATATCTATCCATCTATCTATCTATCTATCTATCTATCTATCTATCTATCTATCTAACCATAAAGATAAGCAAAGTTCTAAAAGACAAAAGGCTGGGGTGAAGGAGTTAGTGAGAAGTCTCCTTATATATTTCAGTTCTAATTTAAGTATTATTAGTGATCACAGTTTCATAAGAGCACCAAGACCATTTCATAGCGCTTCCCATCATAACCCAAAGTCAGAGTTAAAAGTTGGATTTTGAGAGTAAAGACTAACCTACCGCTTCAAGGAAAACGATGATGATAATAGAAGAAAACTGTAGTTGTAACATTTCTTTGAAAATAAAGCATCACTGGCTAATTTAACCAGTATCATGATTATATGCAAAAAAAAAAAAAAAGAAAAGGCTTTTGTTAAAATGGCATGTATTTCACGTAGACACACGTAACATCCCTCTTTTCTCCCCACATATTCTTCCTGTCCCCAGCAACCACTAAATTTGGAATTCTCAATTTTCAAAAAGAGGATACAGACAGCTCATGAAACAAACTAGACTTAGTGAGCTCCCTTCCACCACCACTCTAGTCATTGCTCTCCAACAAGCTCTTCCCAAGCTGCTTTTATCCTGTCTGCACAAAATCCCAAAAAGATTTCAACACTTCCTAGTCATATCCAGATATTTGTATTAACAATAAATGTCTTCAGAAATTAAAATCCAGCCACAGCAAAGCCAAAATCTTACTATCTCATTAATTCTTTTCACGCTACCTCTTCCAGTACTCTCCAGCTATTATTTTTAAGGCCCCTCCCGGTTCTGAAATAGCAGGAAGAGGGAGTCTGAGAGAAAAGGGGCACGATCTTAAGTGGCTGGCTGGACTGTAATCTGATGTGACAGTAATGTGTGATGGAGTCCTGTGGAGGTTGGAAGTCCAAATGCAGACTCTCACCTATAGTTAGTTCCTGATGCAGGAACTTCTCAGGCTTGTCTGCTTGGATCACTGTGACCCTTCAACCAAGTATGGCCTCTTGATCCTTTCAAGGTAAGCCAACTTCAACTATTATGTCTTACTAACGTCTACTTTGTCCATGGGGGTAATTCTTCCACCTTTGACCCATCAAACTCTGACAAAGTGCTGGCCCACTCCCATTGTGCCCTTTCTTCATTCTACCGATACAGGGGCAGCTCCAGCCTTTATCTCACTTTTTAGGCTTTTTCAGATAGAAGTCAAGTACCAGTCTATTTATCTCTCAAACCTCAGCAGACACATGTCAAACTGAGAAGTTCTCGTCAAGTCCTTCAAATTGGATTAACAAAAGGGAGAAATACCTTAACATATACTACTCTCGCCAAAAATCTTTTCACTATGGGGTCCTTCTCTTGAACTCACGATCTTTATACAGCCTACAGGTGAGTAACAGGTTTTAACTGTAGCAATGCTTGACTCAGGGTGTCTTTTCTGCATGTTCTGCATGAACACTATAGCACCTCAATTTTGAATGCAGGTTACTGGCAATCTACTGTTCTCAGATTTGGGGTAAATACCAGATTTGGTAAATACCAGAACATTTCCTATTATAACATTCTGCTATAGTTCCAACTCCAGGTAAAATATAAGCAGGTCACAGCAGTCCAATGTTCTTACTAGAGGGGAAAAAAGGGAAAAAAAAAAAACTTGCTCAAAAGACAATGGAGAGCTATCAAACTAATGAGATCCAGATGAACTAAAACTGCAGCAAAGCAGCTTTCTAGGTGAACTGACAAATGCCTATCACTTCCTCCCCTGGAGTCACGTGTAGATTCTAGGTGCAGGCTAAAGGCTTGGTCTGAGAAAAGAAGCTCTGAGGAATAAAACAGTAGAACTTTTGACAGTCACATGAGTATTCCCCCTCAAGACGCTTATCAGATCTTAAAGCTGAGGCTAAAGAGCTCATACTTTCAAAGTCACCTCATACTTCGAAAAAGTAGAAGTGAATCTCCCAGTGTTTCAGGGGTTAGGTGACAGTCTAACAAGCTTTCAATCAAAATCCCTGGAGCGCTGTTTGCAGGAAAGGTATAATCCAGTGGCAGACTAAACCAAATTAAAATGGCAGTCTAGCCCCACCCAGCTCAATCGCTAATTAGATTAAGGGGAGCTTCTCTCTATCTACCTGGTAAAGGTAGGAAAGGTCAAATACTCTGGGGAGAGCATTATTTGCAAGATCTTTATGAGTGAATTTTACATAATGTACAAAACATATGGCATACAATAAAAGCTGTATGACATGAAAATGCAGGAAAATTTGAGAAAGAAAAGAATGGACAATAACAGAAGCAGACCAACAGATGATCCAGACATTAGAACTGCCACACAGAAGACTTTAAAGTAACTATTATAAATATATTAAGGAAATAGACAAAATGGAGAATTTCAACAGATTTGGGGTCTATAATATCAAAGGAACATACTATAACTGAAGGATATATTTGAAATTAAGAACTTACGTAGGCTTAACAGACTGAATACAGCACAAAAACAGGATCAGTAAACTCAAAAGTAGATCAACAGAAAATATCTAAATTGAAAAAGAGAAAAAGAAAAAAAAGGAAATGAAAACAACAGAACTGTAAGAGACGTTCTGATTTTAGCCCAAGTACAACAGAAGATTTAAAGCAAGATATCCTAAACTGCTGTTTTACTATTATCTCACCTCTCTCCATAGTCCATGTGTGGGTATTGTCTATCTCAGGCACTTTGGATAGTGATACATTTACTTATATTGCCAGTGAGGACCACACAGGCCTGGAAGGACTCTACTACAAGACAGGAAGGGGAAGGAGTAAACAGTATGGTTTTTCCCAGAATGTAGTCACATAAGAATGTCCTGGGTATGACATTTTGGGCTGGATGGTAAATACTTTAAAAAAAAAAAGGCCTGGGTAGCCTAGAATGGTTCCAGGTAAGACTGGAAACAGTCGGGCGCGGTGGCTCACACCTGTAATCCCAGCACTTTGGGAGGCCGAGGTGGGCGGATCACGAGGTCAGGAGATCGAGACCATCCTGGCTAACACGGTGAAACTCCGTCTCTACTAAAAATACAAAAAATTAGCCAGGCATGGTGGCAGGCGCCTGTAGTCCCAGCTACTCAGGAGGCTGAGGCAGGAGAATGGCGTGAATCCGGGAGGCAGAGCTTGCAGTGAGCCGACATCACGCCACTGCACTCCAGCCTGGGTGACAGAGCGAGACTCCATCTCAAAAAAAAAAAAAAGGACTGGAAACAGACCAAGGATGTTGGGAAAACAAAAGATTACTGTAATTTTTTAAATGCCTATTTTAGCTAGGTTGACTCTTTCCTGAAGCTAATATGTTAAACAGGACAAGAAAAGAGGGTATATTGTTCATTGCATCAGGTGTTACATGATAAAATTACAGAAATTGATTAATTTAGGTATAATTTCAGTAATTTTTATAAAGGGACAAAGGTCCTAGGGCAGGTAGGTATTTTCCCTGATAAGGTAAGTGATAAAAATGCCCCATGCAAGAATATACCATATACACAAGGGACTTTGAATACCAGGTCCTGGAGCAGGAGCCCCCTCAAAATACCTAACTGTAAATGTAGGCACCAGATAAGGTCCAGGGCTTAGCAAAGTGCCTTCCAAAGTGTGTTTCACGTGATACTTGACCTCATCACAAGTGCTTTCACATTTATAAACTGTATATGACAAACTGGATGATAAGGCTGATAAAAGGTCCCTATTCCCCATAACCTCAAAGTTCTAATTCATATTTATAAAGTTTTATTGCTCTGACTTTATCAACAAATTTTATACATTTAATAAACTAAATTATACATCATGCAATGTTGCCTGGCAAAAACTTTTTCTAAGCAGAGACAATACATTTTAATGTCTACAATTTAATGTGAGTTCTCCTGAAAAACAAAAATAGAGAACGAAGACCTAGAATATCTGAATATTTCCAATAAATCATATTCCTAGCTATAATGTTTTATAGCTTATGAAGCTCATTTACATTATTTCAATGGACCCAAAAGTCATACTGTGAAAGTACTCAGATAGCACTACTGCCTTTCACAGCTGTGAACAGTAAAAAAAGTACAGTCATATTCCCTAGGATCTACATTCATCAATACTAAAGAAGCTGACACAAAAACAGGTTATCAAACTTGAAATTCAGAGTTCCCTCCACCATAGTGTTTCATACATATTACGATACAGACAGACACACGCACATGCCTATGTATGAATGAGAAGAAAGAATTATCCTATTATGAAAAAGCAGTTGCTTAAGAATGGAAGAATACTACAGTTTGGGTTCAAAAAGACTTCTCTTTAGCTATTCCTGGTTACCTAGAGAAGCAAAAGGGTATGAACATGAGGTTAGAAATAAAAGATGACAGTTTTTTTAATGACAACTGCTCTATTCCAAGACAGTCTGCATAAAGTTACTAATTACTCTGATGTTTAAAAGTCTGTAAGAGGTGGCCGGGCATGGTGGCTCATGCCTGTAATCCCAGCACTTTGGGAGGCCGAGGCGGGCGGGTCACCTGAGGTCAGGAGTTCGAAACCAGCCTGACCAACATGGAGAAACCCTGTCTCTACTAAAAAATACAAAATTAGACAGGCATGGTGGCGCATGCCTATAATCCCAGCTACTTGGGAGGCTGAGGCAGGTGAATCGCTTGAACCTGGGAGGCGGAAGTTGCAGTGAGCCGAGATCCCGCCACTGCACCGCAGCCTGGGCAGTAAGAGCAAAACTCTGTCTCGTTTCTAAGAGGCAAAACAAAATCCAAATGTTAATGGCAGCATTAAAAAGAAACATCCTGGAAGGACACATGAGGAACTAGTAATACAACGTTCACTACAGAGGAAAACTGGGTGATGAAAAAACAGGGGTGGGAGGGAGACTGATTTTTCCACCGTATAATCATGGTTGATTTTTCAGTTATGTACATGCTACTTTATGTTTTTAAGTAACTTTTTTTTTTTTTAAAGGGACAGACTCTCACTATGTTGCCCGGTATGGAGTGCAGTGGCTGTTCACAGATGTGATCACTGCACACTAGCCTGGAATTTCTGGGCTCAAGTGACCCTCCTGCCTCAACCTCCCAAGCAGCTGGGACTACAGGTGAATGCTGCCACGTCTGGCTAGAAATACACTTTTTGAAGGCAAAAACAGTCATAAACATACAAATATCAGAATGCTAAAAAAAATAGAATTGCCTTTTAACAGAAAAAACTGACTTCAAAGAAAAAAGACAAGAATAGTCTTGTCATAAATAGACACGAATTAAATTGCCCAAAAGTCCTATTTAAACATTTAATTGTGCTGACTATAAAAGTGATATACTTTTATATATAAATACTAGAAAAAAAAATACAGGACTTTTCTGGGTCACCCATACTCATTACTAAAAATTTGGTCAATTAATCTCTAAAAGTTCATAATTAAGTGTTAACATTTTTAGAAGTATGCTTTATCAAGCTAAGAAAACTCTTATTTCTAATTTGTTAATATGAATAGCAAATTTTATAGAAAGCCCTTTCTGGATCCATGATGATCATAAAGTGCTTCTTAAATATGATTATGTGGTATCTTATACTAATAGATTTCCTGTAGTTGAGTCATCCTTGAATGACAATAAACATTACCTAGACATTTTTTTTTTTTTTTTTTTTGAGACGGAATTTTGCTCATCGCCCAAGCTGCAGTGCAGTGGCTCAATCTGGGCTCACCGCAACCTGTGCCTCCTGGGTTCAAGCAATTCTCCTGCCTCAGCCTCCCGAGTAGCTGGGATTACAGGCACATGCCACCACACCCAGCTAGTTTTTGTATTTTCAGTAGAGACCGGGTTTCACTATGTTGGCCAGGCTAGTCTGAAACTCCTGACCTCAGGTGATCTGCCTGCCTCGGCCTCCCAAAGTGCTAGGATTACAGGCGTGAGCCACCATGCCTAGTTATGTTTTTGTGGTTTTGTTTTTAATAAACCACTGAATTCTAGTTTCTGATATTTTATTTATGACTTTTGCATCTATGTTTATAAAGAGTGGCATAAACTTTTCTTTCGCTATTCTTGTTTAATTGTGGTATAAAATAAGCTTAAGTGTTCTTTATTAAAGAAACTAAAGGTTAGGACTGGGTTTTTTCTAATTCATATTAAAAACAATACAGATTCCAATGGACTGGTGGAAAAAATGATACTGAAACAAACATCAGGAATCTTTGACAATATTCTGATTATTTCCTTGGGATGAAAGATCAAAAATGTGATTACATGGTCAGAGTACCACCTTAGGAAAGTCCTTTTAATTTATGCTTATGAAAATAAATTTTGCATTCCTATACATTTATGTATAATCAATATTATAAAATAGCCATTTTAGACCCCATAGTCCTTACTTTTAACTTTACAGACCTCCATCCCCACTGCAATTTCAATTTTGCTTTACTGTGGATAATAATATATTGAAAGCTTTTTCCTTATGTCTGATTCTTTATCTAAATATCAATTGCCATTCTGATTTCACGACCAAGTTGTCTCCCATCCCTCGGACTCAAAAATGTTTGAGATGAAAAAGCTTCCTGAAATTTTTTATTATTTAGCTCACTGCAGCTTTTATTGAGGTTAAGCTCTACCTATAAATTACTCTGTGTCACCACAGAAAATGGTGGGAAGGGAGCGACAGTGACGTATCTATAACTACAGCTTTTAAACTGCCAGAGGCAACAAGAGTAATGAGATGAGGGGAGTGGGAGGGACACAAAGCCAGGACTATGTTTCTGCCCTAACTTTAACCCCACTCTAATATTAAGGGGCTGAAAGTAGAGAGGAGGAACTGTTCAGTAAACATTTCAACAGAAAACATTTGCCATTTCTTAAAATTAAGCAATTTGTTTCCCGTTCTTCATCAGCTGAACTTAGTTGTATTTTTTGGCTTATAAAACCATAAAGGCACTTTACTAACATTTTACTTGAAATTCTGAGTAAACGTGCTTACAAATCCATTGTGTATCACATTTTGAATAATTCTGTTTAAGCTAAGGTTTGGATTTAGCCATAACAAATCTTTTCCATCCCACTTCCCATCTTTTACACTCTACATATAAATGAGTTCCCTGAATTCCAACTAAATTTCTTACATTTAAGAATATTTAGTTGTTAAGAAATGACTAATAACCTGACACAATTTAATTGTTCTACTACTAAAAACAAGCTTTATAAAATATATGGCACTAAGCTACAGTGTGTAAAAAGTTAAAATTTTTTTGATAGACCATGATCAATAATAACAAATCTCCATTTTTGCAACATCTAAAAAAACCACCAAATTAGGCAAATTTCTACGCTTCAAGGAAACTTCAATAGTGAAAAACAAGATAATGGACAATTATCACTTCAACTTCATTAATCAGGTGAGAGGGCAGAAAAAAATGTTTTTAATGATGAAGCAGCTCCAGAATATGAGCTCTCAGAGATCTCTATCTCCAAAAGAGGCTGTAAAAAGAATGGGAAATAAGGAAAAGAGCTATGACTAAGGTGACCTCCTCCACAGGTTAAATACCAGCAATGGCCAATTTTAGTACTGCTGTACCTCCCTAAAAGATTAGACTCTCTCAGGCTCTGCTCTGGATAACCTCACTGCAATGGCAACTTGAGCCTTGTTGAAGTTGTGCAAAAACATGGCTCTATCTCTGCTGTATCACACAGCTCCCTTCAATCAAGTGATACCAGTCTCCCGGCCTCCATTCTTGACAGCCTCAAGGAGTTTTCTCGCTGCAACCCACGTTGCACTTGAAATTAATCTGACTTCTGAGCCTTCAGACCCTACGGCACTTAAACGGCCCCAACCTCACCCGTCACCCTCAGGTTAAGTGTGAACACTGGCACAGCATGAAGTGACTCCTTACTACCTATACACACTATGGCCATTTGCCACCCCTTACTTTATACTCTAAGGATACCCAACTTGTTTGGAACGCTTCACCAATCCTCCCCCACCTCCCAATCTCCACACCACCGCACTACATGTGATGAAACAGGCTTCTCCTAATTCCTCCTTTACCCCGCTCAACTCAAAATCACCAGTATTCCTCCAGAAGGAAACTTTCCACAAGCCTCCTCTGGATATAGCCCCAAGCATACTTCTTTTATAACATCTACCAAGCCTCATGAAACCATCTTTTTCTAAGTTTATCTCCCTTACTAGGAAGTAAGTAGTTTAAAAGCAAACACTGTATCTTAACTCCAGTGAGGAAGAGCACACCAGGCACATAGTGGGCATATGATAAATGGTTACCTAATTGAAATCCCAAGCACTACACAATGAAGAATGAAATATAGCTTGACTTCTCAGCCCATTCACCAGGAAGTCCTCAGTTCCACTTCTAAAACCCATGCCAAATCTGTTTACTTCGTGTGCTAGCACAGCCACCACGCCAGTCCAGCCTCTATCGTCTTGCATTTAGATTCCTCACAGCCTCCTAATTTTCCTGCTTCCATCTACCCTACTACACACATACCACTCTCCCGCAGCCAGAAAAATCTTTGTAAAAATATGTAAGATCCTCTTTAAAATCCATCAGAATAAACTTACTTGCATCCTGTTATATTCAGACTAACATTCAAACTCTCACCACACTCTAGGATGCCCTGTATAAGCTTTGGGCAAGTCTTGTCCTCCATCTACACTGGGCTCCTTTTAAATATTCTAATACAAGAAGCTCACCTCAGTGTCTTCACTCTGGCTCTTCCCTCTGCCTAGAAGACTCTTCCCTCAGTTGGCTGCTGCTTCTCCAAGCTCCACGCAAGCATCACAATCCGACCCAAAGCAGCTTTTTAATTCTTCATTCTATCATATCACTGCATTTGGTTGTCTTCTTTGCACTCATTACCATATCAAATTATAATTAATTTGTTTACTTGTTTATCGTGTATTTCTATCCCTTAGGAAGGCAGGAGTTTTGTGTTTTGTTAATCACTGTTATCCTCATATGTCTAGAAACAGTGCCTTCTACATAGCAAACACTCAATAAGCATTTGTAAAACAAATCAACAAACCAAAAAAGCAACCTTTAAGATATACATAAAACAAGTAAGGGAAAGAAATGGATGGTCTACCAAACAAGGCAAGAAACATTCTACTGTTAGTATTTGCAACTAGACAGGCTGCACTGGTGTTATTGGGATCTGTTATCTATAAGCATCAAAAGTGTACTTCTCAAAGTTCAAAGTCAAGTAGAATGGTTTCACATGCTATATGCTAGCCCACGGTATGACACTGCAAACTATCATTTTAGAGAATTCTTACATTTAACAATCTCCCCAAAATCTGTAATGTACACAAGTAGTAAAACACACTTTAAAACACCTGTCACTTAATTAAAAAACAATACTTATGACAGTGGTACTTATCTGTAAATGATTAAATTTATCCTCAGAAAACTTCAGACTTTTAAAGTAACAGGTCCTCCTAACCTAAGAGGCAGGTCTTTAAGACAGGTTCTGACTAATGCCTACAACAATTAAGAAGCCACCTAACACACTATTCTTTCTTGGAAGCAATGCTGCAACGCAAAGAAAAACCATATAAAATTCATTAAAAAGTGAGCAGCCTCTTTTCACCCCTGATGAAAGTTTTGACTAAAGGAGGAGAAAACTGTAGGTTGCTACTATGTTAGTGATAGAAAAAGCTTCAATTCTTTATTCAAGTATCATTCAATCACGGAAATGAGGATAACATACAAATGTAGGCAATGAAGATAATAAATCTAAGTATCTTATTTAGCTTGATTAAACCTCACTATTCAAGAAAATAATTTATAAAACAAGTCAGCTAGCAAAAACAATTTATACAAGGTTAAAAACAGTCATATTTCAATCATCACTTTTTACAGGCAACTTGAAAGGAACACAAATTCAGTAACTTTCCTTCAGATTCCTTGACATAATTTGATCAAACCTGGGATCTAACAAAACTTACCTTGGTATGGTAACACATTTAGTATTACAGTTTTGAGTGGTGATGGCTTTCTCAAGCTCATCTAATCGTCCTGTTTTCTTTAGCTTCTTCACCAGACTTTTCACTGCTTTCTCACACCACTTTTCTTCCTGCCCATTCTGCTCTCCTCCGCCTGCTCCTCCAGACCCACCAGCTGACTTCTTCCATCCCAGCAGTCTCTTCACAACTGGCGGCGTGAATGGCAAGATGGACGACATGTTCTTACCAAAGGCAGCAAGCCACGCTAGGAAAACAGCCTCTTGTATCGAACCTAGCAGAAATATTGAAAGGATGATGTAGAGACTACCTTGAACATCAAGTAATAATTTCAACTTATCATAGAAAGCAAACTGCAAAGCAAGATAGAAATTCGAATTATGACTTTCCCAATAGACTTCTCCACCCATGAAAACGTTATCTTTATGAATTTAAATGAATGATGGAAACAAACCCTTCTAAAAACAAGAATGTTGTAAGGACTCCTCTTGTGGGAAAATACAGTAATTTTGCAAGTAAAATCAGATACTTTTAACGATTTTTCACCACCAATACTATTTTAAACTCTTAGTAGTGTCAATTAAAATATTTTCACAAAAGGTTCTCTTACTTTTTAGAACTTCACTCTAATCTCAAAAGACTATACAAAAATACATTGAAAATTTGTAAGCCCACTCTCCCCCGGGTTTTAAACTTTCATAACTAATAGGAGGCAAAATCTACAGTTACAAGAAGGGAAAATGCGTAAAGTGTGAAGTAATCAAGAATAAAGAAATAAACATGGCAAACAGAGTCCGTGGAGAAAAGCTGTAGTCCGGTTTCACCTGCTCTTGAGAGAAATTTTTTAACACATGTTTTTTTCATTTTCATCTAAATAACAATTTGCATAGTGAGTAAAGTCAGATAGTTTCTCTTCCCAATTTAAGGAATTGTACCTTGTCTTTTCTCTTCCATAGGAATCATTTTTATTAAGCTGTTTTGTCTATTCAGCGTCATTTTACAAATATAAACATGTATACATACAACTAACCACATTCCCACCTTATTGCTGTACAAAAGTAGCATAATATTCCTTATTTTGTATATCTTGAAATTATTTTTTTATTTTTATTTTTTTGCTTAATTCCCTGTAGGTCATTCCTTATCAGTTCACACAGAATTTAGAAAGCACTGTCCCCTCAATTTTCTAGACTCCACTACTGATACTGGTAAGTCCCACATAACTTTTATTCCTGATCCTTTAATTGGGGTTTAAAAATTGTTTCGCTCCAGAAGCTCTTAATATCTTAGCTCTTACGCTTTTCTTTCCTTTGCCTTCAATTTTAGTGAGATATAGGAAAAAGGAAAATGAATGTGTTCAATTTGCCATATTTAATAAAGTTCCCAAAAGGCATCCTTTTTAGAAAGTAAAGAGGTCTGTAGTCTTTACATCACACACCCCAAATACTGAAATTGTAGTTTTCAAAGTGTATCTTTAAGAAAACAATGATGCTTACATTTTCATTAGTTTGTTCCTTAATTATCATAATGATCAGACAATAGTTTTTAAACGTAGAGGAGGAAGTACAAGTTAAAATAATAATAAGGCATCATTTCATGCCCAATCTAGCTGGCAAAAATTGAATTAATTAAAATACCTACTGCTGGAGAAGATGTGAAGAAATTGTTATCATTCCACATTGCTGGTGAAAAGGTCAAATGTGACAGCTTTATTCTAAGTAATCTGGCAATGTGCCACGTGTTACAACTAGTAACTGGATTATACGTGTATAAACAAAAATCTAGGATATTAATATGGGTTGCAGATATACCAATATGCAGAAAAGGGGGTGAAAAGATGAAAAAGGCTGAATGATATGGCCATTGTGTATGTTTTTGTGTATGTGTGTACAAAAAACTGGATAAAACATTTTTAAAGGAAAAAAACAGTTTTTAAGCACACTTTGCACATATTCTTAACGTTAAAGAAGATCCTAACACAAGATGCAAATTTATTTCCCATCAAAGAACATGGCTAATTTTCATAGATTATATGCTAAGATTCATTTCCAATGTACACAAACTGCATTCCTGCTCTAACCTCTCCATAATTCCATTATTTTGGTTTGCACCACATGGA
This sequence comes from Homo sapiens, assembly GCF_000001405.40. Lineage (NCBI taxonomy): Eukaryota > Metazoa > Chordata > Mammalia > Primates > Hominidae > Homo > Homo sapiens. The sequence continues at coordinate 47,898,655 of NC_000018.10, forward strand.
AGAATAATTTTTTTTTTTAAATATTCCCTCTTCTCAGGATGGTCAATGACTAGTGAAGAAGACTGCCATGATTAAAATACACATGACAATTAAGAGAAATTGCAAGGGGGATTACAGGTACACAAAGAAACACCATCTGATTTTGCTTTAGGCGTCAGGAAAGATTTTCCTGAGGAAATATTTGCACTTCCTTGGCAGCTTGCCATTTATTCATTCCTTTTTGCATTCAACAATTTTTTTTTTTTGCCTGTCTATTGTGCCTGTATTTACCTGTTTATTCTCAAATCCAGTCTGTGTTATTCATCTGCAAACTACACTGTTGAGCTGGGACGGGTAGGACAAAAGAAATCCTTTGTAGCAAGGTATTGGCAGTGGGGAATGGAGAAGGGGTAAGTTTTTAAGGGCAGAGAGATCAACCAGCAGAGAATTGCAATACACAAAAGGAAGAATAGCTATTAGGGACATAGAAGGAACAGAGTTGATTAAGAAAAAGTTACAAATTACAGGTTCTTGCTTGAAAAACCAGTTGAATGAAAATACAATTCGCCAAAATACGAAGTATTTGGGGAACATAAGTGTTGTGTTAGTCAAACTAAATTTGCTGTGACTATGAAATTCCAGAAGGAGGTGCCCGATAAGCAGCTAGAAACAAAGGTTTGGAGCTTAGCAGAGAGATCAAACTGTCATGTGGTAATGAAACGCAATGCTGGTATATGGGAGAGCTCAGAAAGCGCCAAGTTCAGTGAAAAAAAAATTCTAAGAAATACATATAAAGGAGTTATCAAATGTGGAAAAAAAGTGGATGATTAGGGAGAAAGGTGTCATGAATACAAAGGACAATTTATAGCAACACAACATGGTAACACAACTTTTAAGTGCCAACACTAGGATTTATATCAAGCAGCATGATGCCAGAGAACAAGTACTTAATTGTGTCAATGCATTGTGTTGCACATAACAATCTGAAGCTAATCTGGAGACCTAAAAAGAGCCATTAAAGGCTGAGCTCTTTATACAATCAACAGAGCTATCTGTGCCTGACAAATTAGTCCATTAGATAGGATTAGAATGACACATTTAGCTCCAACTCCTTTCTCAATCTACAAATCATTTAACTAGTCTTTCAGTCACCACCTTCTACCTTCTTTGATGCAAACAGCTTTCTAAAATGCATACTGCATGTCACCCTACTACTAAAAATCCTTCAATATTTGCAAAAAGTAACAGTAAAATGACTTAATATCCTTTAAGAACCCATAAACAGTGTAATGCTTCAGAGAACAGATTCTGAAGCCAATTGGCCAGGTTCAAATCCCAAGGATGCCACTTACTAGCTGCATGGCAACCTCTATACACCCCAGTTTTCTCAGCTGTAAAATAAGGATAACAGTACCTATCTTAAAGCCAATATAACAACCTCTATAAAAATGTAATATGAGCTACATATGTACTTTAAGTTCTCTAATGACATTTTAAAAAGGGAAAGAAAATAGGCAACATTTTAATGATGTATTTAACCCAATATATCCAAAATGCCATCATTTCAACCTGCAATCAATATAAAAAAAATTTTCATACTAAGTCTACAAAATCTGTTGAGTACTTTACACTTACAGGACAACTCAACTAGGACTAGCCACATTTCAAGTACTCAATAGCTACACAAAGGTGCTGCCTACCCATATTGAATGATCCAGCCCTAACTACTCAAAATTTCTGCCTACTCTGCCTATCCCATATTCTCCATAAACTGTTCATAAATGCCTCTATTTAACGGCTGTAGGATCCGTAGTGATGTGACATTTTTCAATTCCTATTATTTAAATTTATGTTCTCTCTCCCCCTCCCCATCCTCCTTTTATCAGTTTTGCTAAGTGGTCAATTACATTAATCTTTTCAAAGAACCAACTTTTTCTTAGCTTTGTCAATTTTCTCTATGTAAGATTACTTTCTATTCACTAATTTCTGCTCTTGTCTTCATTATTTCTTTACTTCTACTGTCTTTAGGTTTGATTTCCTATTCCTTTTCTACCTCCTTAAAAAAGCTTTCTTTTCCAATGCATAGACTTAAGGCTATAAATTTCATCTTAGCATTTCAGCAGCAGCAATCTAGATCATTGTAGTTCACCTTCATTTTCAATCAGTTTAAAATATTTTCTAATAGCCATCATAAATTCTTATTTTAAGTCATATGTTATTCAAAAGCATAGTGTTTTATTTCTAGGCAGCTAGGAATTTTCTAGTTATTTTTATTTACTATAATACAAACAACATATTCAATTATTAAAATCAATGATATTTGCTGAGGCTTTGTTCATGGCCCTAGCTTATGGTCAATTCTAGTACAATTTCCATGTGCAAGGGAAAAGATGGTTAATACCACCATTAATAGTTTCAATGTTCTACATATGACAATTAGATCAAGCCTGCTAATTGTGATGTATGTATGTCCTATATATGTGCATCCATTGTGATGGCATATTTGTCTGTTTCTTTTAGTTCAAAATAAAATTTTTGGTTTATAGATGTTTGGGCTATTTTACTGGGTACACATAAAGGATTGTGGTAACTCTGGTGGATCAATCCCCTTACACTATAAAATGTAGTTCTCTTTTTCTACTACTGTTTATTGTATTAAAGTCTCCTTTGCCTGATTGGTATAGCCACACTTATTTCCTTCAGTTAGCATTTGGATGGTATACCTTTTCGCATCATTTTCTCTCAATCTTTCTAGGTACTTATATTTAGGTAATTATTATTTGTCCAGTCTGATGATTTTTGCCATTTACTTGAAATATTTAGCCCATTTCCATGTAACATAATTACTAATTTAGTTGCCTGCTTGTTTTATATTTTCTTTCTTGTCTTCTTCTGAATTTATCACATATTCTATATCCAATTTTTTTCTGTATTCATTTGTTACATTCTTTTCTTTTAGTGGTTACCCTAGATATTTTCTTATTCATCCTTCACTTAACACAATTTTCATACATATACTTTTACTACTTCCTCTATAATGCCAGAATCATAGAACACTGCTGAGTAGCAGTTTTGCTATGAAGGAGACTACCTCTGGTTTGTCCCTGTTCCTAGGATGAGACTCTGCAGAGCCTTCATTTCAAAAGCTAGCAGATCGTTATCTTCTAGGTACCTAGATACTATAAGAATTGCTTTGTTTTTAAGAGACTTCTGGTTTAGCTCTCTAGCCTAAGCAGCTTCAGAATTTGGCAAATGTCTACGGGGGAAGAAACTGGGTGTGTTGAAAATCATCAGTGTGTATTCACCACTTCCTCAAACGCTTTCAACTCTCACCTATTGTTCTCAAGTCGCTTCCCCTAGAGAATCTTTATCTCAACACCATAGGACTAGAAAATATCCCAATCTCCTTTTCTGAGATTTTGGTTTATCTCTTCCGCCCAGCTGAACTACAGAATTTAGGAATATACTGAGGGCGTTCTCTGTGTTTAAAGGCCCCTCATATTTCCAATCTGCCACTCAGGCTGCAGCCCAAAGGCCTCCTCTACTCTGTACCCAGGAAAAACAATGATCAGCTGCAGACCTCTCAGCTCACTTGTGAAAGGTATTCCCCCAGGGTGCAAAATTTTGCTTTCTTTAATCATTTTTACACCCATTGTTCTCTATCGCTAAATATATAAATTTTGTAAATTACCTGGCTTTTCTAGTTGTTTTATTAAGAGTCTTGGACTACCAAGAACTACTGCATCCTATCCCCCAAAACGTTCTAATTCCATTTGAATAGTAAGTCTTCCACAACTATAAATCTATGAGTTGAAATAATTTGTTGATGACTTTAATTTCAAAATAAGACACAAGATCACTTACCACTTGAGGACAGAGATGGAGAGTTAAGATTTGAGAACAGGAAAAAATAGAGAAACGTAGCCCTGAGAAAATCAACCATTATGAAACAACAGAAAACGTGTCAGTTATGTATTATCAGACTATATACTTAAAAAGTATTCCATAGAAGGAATTCCACTTCTGATTAGGACGTAGAAAGTTACAACAGAGCATCACTTTCATTCTAATAATCAAAACTAGCCAGATAAGCTACAAAATCATGGTCTCTCTGAACCAGAGTTGAGGATACAAAGCAGCCTAAGAAGAACTAAATTCCAAGTGTTGAGCCTTGAGAGAAGAGAGGCTGCATGGATGGTCTCTTTCCTGGTGGAGCGGCTAGTGAGGAATAATCCTGCCATAAATGAAAGAAAGAAGAAACCAGCCTACATGCACACCGACATGACATATTAAATTGCAAGGATCCCACAGAGCAAGTGTGCATCCACCCCAACCACTCATCCCCATAGGTTTCCACTAAGTACTTGCAAAAAGTATGTCAAAGCTTGGGGAACAGGACTGGAAAGCTGAGGGAGATCCCCTAAGGAGCTTAAGATCTCCCATAAATGCAAAAAATCTACCCTCATCAATGGGGGATGGGGGGAGGGACAGGCAAGAAAGGTGAGAAAAAGATGATCCCAAGAGAGTCTAGACATTGAGCTGCCAAGGGCTGCGGTAGGACAGGAAAGATGAGAAAACTTTCACCCAGATACTCAGGACATTGATCTACCGAGGCTGAAATGAGTAGCGAACTTGAAGACAGGGTAGGATTGCTAAAAGAAACCTCTGGAAGGTATTAATAGCAGAAAGATGTCTCACTGGGCACAAAAGCTTGGAGGCAGGACTAGAGAAAGAGGGGGTGGGGGGAAAGAAAATAAGAATGACCAAGGAATTGACAGCTGAGCTATAGAGAAATTTCTCATGGTTCAGAAAGCTGACGGCTCAGCTATAAACCAAAAAGAGATCCAAAATCACACTTGGACAAAACAAGAAATGATGGACCATTTTCTAAAAGTAAATATTATTTACTTCAATCTCCATTGTTTTTATACAAATGTTCAGCATTCAATCAAAAATTACAAGATACAGGGAGTAGCAAACAGTCAAAACATGAATAAAATCAGATAACTATAATAAAAATGCTAAAGAAACTGATGGAAGAGATAGCAACATGAATAATGAAAAAACTTCATCACAGATATCAAAGTTACAAAAGAGGATCACAGGAAAACGTTAGAAATGAAAACTATAGTATTAGAAATTAAGGATACCATTAGATGGGCTTAACAGAAATGAGCAGTGAACTTGAAGACAGGCCAAATTAAAGTATGCAAATTGAAACACAAAGAGGGAAAAAACAGTGTGGGGGGGGGGGGGACTCAGAATATCCAAAACCAAATGTCAGTTGGGTTTAATTGGGGTGCCAGAGAAAGATGAAAGACAATGGGGAACAAAAAAATGTATGAAGAGATAATGGCCATAAACTTTTCAAGAGATGACAGATATTAATCCACATATGGAAAGAAAACACATTCATGGTCAACCTGCTGAATATTAAAGATAAAAGTAAGGATGAAAGGCCGAGCTAGGATAACAGTTAAAATCCCTGGGAGTCCTCGATAGAAAGAGAATCTGCACTCATTCACAAGCTCTTTTCCAAGGGCCTCAACTGAGTGCTCTTGAAAAAAGGCAGAAAACGGAAGAGAGCTCCTTCCTCCCATTTGGTGGCATCTCGTATGAAGCAAATGCCTTCAACTATGACGGGAGAGGCAGGAAAGTCTACCAAACCCAAGGGCAAGCAAAGATCCCCTGCCTCAAAGGGAAGGGTAGAGCAAAAGACATGTGCTGCTGAGTTGGGGGATTTGTGGAGCAAAACTTACTTGCCCATCTCCCACACACAAACATGCCTTTCACTCTGTAACAATAACCACCATATTCTACTGCCACGGGAAGGGAGGAAACATTGCTACCACCAGTCCCAGACAAAGGCACACAGATGCTGAGGAATGAGAAGCAACAGCTGTCTGATACTGAAAAAGGGACAACAAGCCGGCTTGGGCCCAAGATCCCGTACTAATACACAGCAAAGGTCTGTTACTACTAGATGCAAAAATCCTAAACAAAATATTAGCAAATCACATCCAGCAACATAATAGAAAAGGTCATCATCACTAAGTAGGATTTATCCCAAGGAGCAAAATTGGTTTAACATTCAAAAATCAAGCACCTCATTTATAGTACAAAGGAGAAAACGCACCTATGATTCTCTCAAATGAGCGAGAAAAAAGGTATCTGAAAATGTTAATTCAACACTCATCTATAATTTAAAACTCCCAGCAACACTAGAAAAGAATGTTCTTCAATCTGAAAAGGACATCTATGAAAAACCTAGAGCTAGCATATGTCATAAAGAAACATTAAATCTCTCCCTTACAACTGGGAATAAGACAAAGATGTCCACGGTTACCCTTTCTATTCAGTAATGCATTGGATATTGTAGACAGGACAACTATGCAACAAAGAAAAGATAGACTGGAAAGAAATAAATAAAACTGACTTTATATTCTACAGTGATATGACTGTCTCCATGGAAAAGTGCATGGAATCTACAAGTAATCTACTTACTGGAACTAGTAAGTAAATTTAGCAAGGTTTCAAGATAAAGGGTCAAGATTTGGAAAATGAAATTTCAAGAAATACGCTTGAAACAACAGATATTTTCTACATATCTAAAGAAAGATACTCAAGATCTCAACACTAAGAATTACAAAATATTGCTAAGAAAAATGAAAAACACTGAACAAAGAGAGATCATGTTCATAGACTTGAAGATTCATATTGCTTAAATGTCCATTCTTTCCAATTTGATATATGGATTCAATGTAATCCCTACCAAACTTCCAGCAGAGTTAAGCAATTCATATGATATAAAATTCATATGGAAACAAAAAAAAAAACTAGAATAACCAAACCATTCTTGAAAAAGAAAACTGGAGGCCTTACACCACCTTATTTCAAGGCTTACTAAAAAGACTTAGTAATCAAGAGTATAGAGTAGGCATAAGAAAAAAAGATCAGTGGAACAGAACAAGTCTAGAAATAGACCCACACATATACAGTCAACTCATTTTCCAGTAAGGCCCAAGGTCAATCTAGTTTTCAACAACTTTTCAACAACATGGAAAATAACAAGCCTCAACCACAAGTGCATACCATCTTCAATGGGAAAGCAGAATCTTAAGCTCTTAGAGGAAAACACAGAATACATTCATGACCTTAAAACATAAAAAGCATTAACCACAAGAGAAATACAGTTGAGCCACGCATGGTGGCTCACACCTGTAATCCCAGCACTTTGGGAGGCCAAAATAGGAGGACTGCTTGAGCTCTAGTGTTCAAGACCAGCCTGGACAGCATGGCAAGACCCCATCTCTACTAAAAAACAAAAAATACAAAAAAAATAGCTGGGCGTGGTGCCTCCTGTGCTCCCAGTTAGGAGGCTGAGGTGGGAGGATCATTTGAGCACAGGGGTGCGGAGGCTGCAGTGAGCCAAGATCACTCCATTGCACTCCAGGCTGAGTGGCAGAACAAGACCATGTCTCAAAAAGAAAAAAAAAGAAATAGAAAAAGAAAAAAAAAATACAGGCTGAGCATCACAAATCCGAAAACTGAAATCTAAAATGCTCCAAAATCTGAAACTTCTTGAGTACCAACATGACACCCCCAAAAAAACGGTCATTGTACTATACAGCTATAATGCAAATATTCTAAAAATTGGAAAAAATCTGAACCACTTCGGGTCCCAAGCATTTTGGATAAGGGATACTCAAATCTGTGTATGTAACATAAACCAACAAAATTTAAAAATCACACAAAAAGGTAAGCTCAGCTTTTTTGTTAAACAGGAAAAGAATAATAGACATGTCATAAAAGACACAGGAGCACATGAAGAGGTATTTAGTATCACCAATCATCAGGAAAACGCAAACTAAAACCATAATGCAATACCATTTCACACCATCTAGAATGGTTTAAAATTTTTCTGACACTACTAAATGTTGATGAAGATGTGGAGTGTATTAGTATACTACTGCTGCTGTAACAAATAATCGCAATCACAGCACAAATTTAGCAAAATCAGTTTCAATGAACTACAGTCACAGTGTTGGCAGGACTGATTCCTCCTGGAGTGTCTGAGGGGAAGTTCGTCCTTGCCTTTTTCAGCTTCTAGTGGTTACCTGTAGTCTTTAGCTTGTGCTCCCTTCCCTTAGCTTGTGCTCTCTCCCCCACCTTCAGAGCACATCATTCCAATCTCTGCTTCCATCGTCACACTGCCTTCTCTTCTGTATTCAAATCTCCCTCTATGGCCTTCTAGTAAGAGCTCTTGGCATTACATTTAAAGCCCACCCAGATAATCCAGGATCATCTCTCCATCTCAAGATCCTTAATTTAATCACATCTGTAAAGTCTCTCTTGCCATATAAAACAACATTCACAGGTTCTTGGGATTAGAACCTGAATATCTTTGGAGACCATGATTCAGTCTACCACATCAAGCAACTAGAACATTCATAAACTGCTGAAATGAAAGTATAAAATGGTATATAGCACAATTGGAAAACCGGCAAGTTCCAAAAAGTTAAACATAGATCTACCCTGTATCACACATTCAGGAAAAATAAATACGTATGTCCACAAAAAGAAACCTGTATAAGAATGTTCATAGTAGCCATGTTAATAATCGCCAAAAACTAAAAACAGCCAAAATATCAAAAGAAAACAAATAATTATAGTGTGCTCATAAAAAGGAATACTGCTCAGGAACAAATATGAATGAGCTTATACACTCCACAACACGGATCAGTCTCAAAAACATGCTGGGCAAAAGACAAAGAAATATAGACTGATTTCATTCATGGCTTCCCACAACAGGCAAAACTAATCTAATGACAAGTCAAGATGACCATCTCAGAGGCACTAAGGAAGAGAAGTGGAAATGTTTGGACAGAAGCACAAAGTACCTTTCTACGGTGACAAAAGTGTTCTCTATCTTTGTTTTATTCCCTCGCTCCTGTAAATCCACTGTTGAATTCCTGAATGTTTTCTATCTTGAGAGGTAATCACACATGAGTACAAGTTACCAAAACTCACAGAACTGGCCGAGCCCAGTGGCTCACACCTATAATCCCAGCACTTTGGGAGGCTGAGGCAGACAGATTGCTTGATTTCTGGAGTTCAAGACCAGTATGAGCAACATGGCGAAACCCTGTCTCTACAAAAAATACAGAAAAAAGTTAGCCATGTGCATGTCTATACTCCTAGCTACTTGAAAGGATCACTAGAGCCCAGGAGGCAGAGGCTGCAGTGAGCCGAGATCGTGCCACTGCACTCCAGCACCCTGGGCGAGAGAGTGAGACTCTATCTCAAAAACACTCACAGAACTGAACATTTGAAGTCTGTGCATTTTAGCAATGTAAATTACAATTCAAAAAAATTTAAAAGGTGCCTGGACAAACACATTAAGAAGTTCCTAAATTAAGTTAAATAGACTTCTTTACTGAAGAACTTCTCAAAAGCTTCAACATGCCAATGCACATTACAAATTTCAGAAGGGAGGAGGTTGCAAGTGACCAAAGATGTAAGCTTGGAAGTTTCCGTCCACAACATGCAGATAGCCTCTGCAAGTACATGTAGGCAAATGTTCGTGGATGGAGGGTGGAAGGGGTATTGTTTTGAGGACAAAAATTGAGAGCCCAAATGACAGCCATCACAAACATACATGAGGCACTGACAAAATGGTTGTTGTAACAGAGCTATATAATTGACCCGTGGACAACATGGGTTTAAACTGTATAGGTCCATTTATACACAGATTTTATTCAAGAAACATTGCAAAATGTCTTGGAGATTTGAGACAATCTGAAAAAAACTCATAAACCAGGTAGCCTAGAAACACTGAAAAAAACTAAGAAAAAGGTATGTTATAAAGCATAAAAGATATGTAGATACTACTCTATCATTTACCATCATGAAATACAAAAATCTACTATAAAAAGTTAAAATTTATCAAAACTTACACAAACACAGACCATACATGGAGCCATTTACAGTTGAGAAATGTAAACATTCAGATGAAGTATTAAATCATTAACTACATAAAATTAACGGTAGTACATACTGTACTACTGTAATAATTTCATCGCCACCTCCTGTTGCTATCACGGTGAGCGGAAGTGTTGCGAGTATCCACTGTGTGAGGCTAATCATCTCTGCATGAGCAGTTCTTCTCTCCAGTAAATTATCACAGTAAAAAGTGATCTCTCACATTTCTCATGTAATTTTCACCATGTGTAGTGCAATACCATAAGCCTTGACTAATACCATGAGATCCATACGATGTGCCACTAGTGATGCTGACAGTGCTCCCAAGAAGCAGAGAAAAATCATGACATTACAAGAAAAACTCCAATTGCTTGGTATGTACCACAGACTGAGGTCTGCAGCTGCAGTTGCCCACCATTTCAAGATAAATGAATCCAGTGTAAGAACTACAGCTAAAAAAAAAAAAAAAAGAAAATTTGTGAAGCTGCCACTGCAGCTAGGCCAACAGGTGTGAAGATCTTGCACCTTTTGTGAAACAACTTTTGATCTCATATTGAAAATGCAGGTTTTATGTAGGTACAGGATTGCTATAAAGAAAGGCGTACCTATAGACTATTACATGGTTTGAGAAAAAGCGGAGTCATTATATGACAACTTAAAGCAAAATTAAGGTGAAGGATCTAAAGCTGGAAAATTTAATGAAATCAAAAGATGGTTGAGAATTTAGAAACAGGCTGGCTTAAAAAATGTCAAGATAACAGGAAAGGAGCTTCTGTCAACCAAAGTAGATGAGTTAGTTCCTAGGCACCATTAAGAAAATCACTGAGGAGAAAGGGTATCTGCCTGAACGGGTTTTTAATGCAGGCGCAAGTGCTGTATTCTAGGGGAAAAAACTGCCACAAAGGACATTTATTAGCAAAAAGAGAAACAAGCACCAGATCTGAGGTAGGAAAGGACAGGCTAACTCTACTGTTTTGTGCAAATATGTCCAGGTTTATGATCAGCACTGCCCTTCTCTATAAAGCTGCTGACCTCCAATCCTTGAAGGGAAAAGATAAACACCGGCTGCCACAACAAAAAGGCCAGGGCAACCAGAACGCTTTTCTCTGGATTCGTTCCATCAATGCTTTGTCCCTGAAGTCAAGTACCCTGCCAGTAAAAGACTGCCTTTTAAAGTTCTTTTGACATTGGACAATGTCGCTGGTAACCCACAATCCCATGATTCCAACACCAAATATGTCAAAGTGATCTACTTGTCCCTGAACACATTAATAACATCTCTAAATCAGGGAGTCATAAGGACCTTTAAGGCTCATTACACACAGTACTCCATGGAAAAGACCGTCAATGTTACAAAAAAGAACTCTGATAGAGTGTCATCAAAGTATGGAAGGATTACGCCATGGAAGATGCCATTGCTGTTATAGAAAAAACCATGAAAGCCATCAAGTCCAAAATGATACATTCCTACTAGAGAAAACAGTATCCAGATGTGCCCGACTTCACAGCATTTACACCAGAGCCTATCGAGGAAATCATAAGAGATTGTGGATATGGAAAAAAAAAAAAAAAAGTGGGGAGTGAAGGGCTTCAAGAGATGGATCTTTTTAGAGAAATTCAAGGGCTAACAGACTCCACACATCAGAGGAATTAACAGAAGACGACGTAACAGAGATCAGTGCTTCTAAACTAGCTCCAGATGATGAGGAAGAAGATGCAGAAGAAGCAGTGCCAGAAAACAAATTGACATAGGACAATCTAGCTATATATAATATAGGGTTCTAATTATTGAAGGCTGCTTTTGACTTCTTTTATAACACAGATCCTTCCATTACATGGGCACTGAAACTAAAGCAAAAGGTGTAAGGAGGACTGGTACCACACAGAAACATTTTTGGAGAAATGAAAATGCAAAAAGTCAGGCAAAAATTGCTTATTTTCATAAAGTTACACTGAATGTGCCTGACTCCCAGTCTGCCTCTTCTACCTGTGAGACAGCATGACCAACCACTCCTCAGCCTACTCAGAGTGAAGACAATGAGGATGAAGACCTTCATGATGATCCACTTCCACTTAGTGAATAGTATATGTATTTTCTCTTCCTTATGATTTTCTTAGTAGGTTTCTTTTCTCTAGCTTAAAGAATACAGTTTATCATGCATGTGACATGCAAAATATGGGTTAATCAACTGTTTATGTATTGGTAAGGCTTCCAGTCAACAGTAGGTCGTAAGTTTTAGGAGAGTCAAAAGTTATACACAGATTCTTCACTGTGCAGGACAGCACCCCAACCACCCCATTGTTCAAGGGTCAACTGTATATTTACTAAAAAAGAAACATTAAATAAAAGCTCAAAAAAGGACTTTAAATTATCAAAAGAATGTTCTCAAAAAAGGTCCTCAAACTGAGGATATTCAGCCCTTGGTATAATTTGCTAGAAAATAATGGCCATAACTGCCAGGCGTGGTGGCTCACGCCTGTAATCCCAGCACTTTGAGAGGCAGAGGCGGTTGGATCACGAGGTCAGGCATTCGAGAACTAGCCTGACCAACATGGTGAAACCCCATGTCTACTAAAAATACAAAAATTAGCTGGGCGTGGTGGCGAGTGCCTGTAGTCCCAACTACTCGTGAGGCTGAGGCAGGAGAATCGCTTGAACCTGGGAGGCAGAGGTTGCAGTGAGCCAAAACCACGCCACTGCACTCTAGTCTGGGCAACAGAGCGAGACTCCATCTGGAAAAAAAAAAAAAAAGAAAATAATGGCCATAACCTAATATAATCATACTCACGCCCCTCGAAACAGAAAAAAAATCAATGCATCCTCAAGCTCAATTCAGGAGACTGGCCCCAAGGCCTCCCTCCAGGAAGAGGCAACACAGCATGCCAAATTTCATAAATTTCATAAATTTGGCCATGTCAACCCTTTTTAGGGATGTATGGAATGCCACATAACAATACTGCATTGGCAACCTTGGGAGTCCAACTAGGGTTCAAACACTAAAAATTTGAAAGGAGTCAATAATAGGATTATGTAACTTTCTTTAGCAATATAGTAGAAATGGTGGGAAAGTGAGGTTTGCATAGAATTAGGGAACTGTAATGCAAATAAAAGAGCAACAGTGAACTTAACAGCCCGGTTAAACTGTCTATAGTGGTAGACCTATAATACGACACATAAATAAGCACTGTAGTATGTAACTTGATAAAATAAAGCAAATACACAAAACTCCATCAAACGCATGTAATCATCTACCAACTAATAACCTGGGACTATCAGGCAGCAAAAAGTGTACTTGGCTACCTTTGGCCCCTGTTGGATTCCTACTCTGTGCCACAAAGTATGCTCTAGAGGAGCCAACTACAGACACCGTAGTATCATGTGACACAGTCTTATCCTAGCACAGAGAACAGGATTCAACCTTTGGAAGGGAAAGGTGACACTAAAGTTGACACCAGAGCACAAGTATTGAGAGAGATAGTACAGCAGGCAGAAAGTTCAGCATGTTTTCTAAAGACAGGAAACGTTTTAGGAGAGACGAAAAATTTAGGTTATCACTAAAATACGGTGCACAGGAAGCACTGTGGCAGAAGATGAGGGGAAAATAAGGCCAGTGCAGATTAAAGAGCTGAAGACAGAAATTACTGCTAATGATAGGAGTATTACTTCATTTATTCCAGTGACAATTTGCATTTTGAATGACCTACTGGACGTGCAGTTTAGGGAAAAGGATTGAAACACAACTAATGTGACCGACTACCTAATGTAACTGAGTGGCATGTAATGGTACATTCATCACTATTAGGAATGAGGAAAGAGAAGCAACCCTGAAGGCTAAAGGGTCAGTTTTATACATGCCTTTATGTAAGTAACTATGTTCATCACATGGCCAGGAGGCAGCATAAAATATAGTAGACTCAGGGGAGCTAGCAGTCAGTGTACAAGTAAGAGTGTGTGCCAGAGCTAGGCAGAGACAACTGGTGTCTTGAAGAAAAGCAGAGCAGCCAATCTCTAGGCTTGGTTTCTGAGGACTGTCCAGGCCTGTTCCAGCTCCACAATTATATCCTCAGAACAAAACCTCTTTTTGAGTTAGCATGAGTAATCTCTCTGTTCCTTGTGAAAAACTGATAGAAAAAGCAAAATAAAAGAATCTCCCTACAAGTATCTGTATCTTTGGTTCAATTATTCCATTCATAAGAATTTAGCCTAAAAAAAGAATAAAAAATGAAACTTCTGTATAAACAGCAAAAAAAAAAAAAAAAAAAAAAGGGATTTCCAGCATTAGGAGGAATGAGAGTAAACAGTTTCTGTAACACTTTTTTTTTTTGAGGAGTTTCACTCTTGTTGCCCAGGTTGGAGTGCAATGGCGTGACCTCAGCTCACTGCAACCTCCACCTCCCAGGTTCAAGCAGTTCTCCTGCCTCAGCCTCCGGAGTAGCTGGGATTACAGGCACGCGTCAACACGCTCGGCTAATTTTTTGTGTTTTTAGTAGAGATGGGGTTTCACCATATTGGCCAGGCTGGTCTCAAACTCCTGACCTCAGATGATCCATCCGCCTCGGCCTCCCAAAGCACAGGGATTACAGGCATGAGCCACAGCGCCCAGCCTGTTACACTTTCGTTAGGAGAAATGTTTCTTATGAGTTAAGCTGTATTCCTGGGGATCTAAAAGTTTTCTATAAAACCTTTACAATATTGTTTCTTCACTGAAATGAAACTAACTTAAGTTTAGGCCTATTCTGGGTCATCTGAATGGCCACATGACCTGGTATTGCCACATGATTTCAGTGTCCCATGTCTTACAAGAGGAGTTAAAACCATTTTGGAACTAAGTGAACACTTAAAGTTGCCAGCCTTACCTTTGCATGTCTCAGTAACCATGGTTGGCTGACATCTGTCTAATATCTCCGGAGAATTTTTAAATTATGTAATAAAATAACATTTGTTGTAAGTAATGCTGATAATACATCTTCAATTAGTTAAGCTTTTATTTTAAAAACTGAAGCATTTTTAGCCAATATTTTTGAAGTGTAAATAGACTGAATGTAGGCTGACAAGGAACAGATAACAATGTGTTCCAGGTTAAAAACAAATGAAATACAAAAAAGAAAACTAGATTTATAATCAAGTTGCTATCAAAACGTGAATGAGTCATTTACAGAATATACAGATTTCCTTCAATGGTGTGGCAGCAAGTTCTCTACTGAAATAAATTTTCAACATCTGCAAGAATTGAAATCTAAGTTCAGACACTATTTCTAATTCCAGCAATAAGTGATACTTACATAATGCAGATTTCAAAAGAACACAAAGACTATCTTTACAGCTGAATAAGTCAGCTTACCAAATGATACCTTAGTAAAATTAGGATTCTACGATTACTCACCGGAAAGTTTCAATAAGGTAAGAGGTCTAATTATCCTGAACTTGTAGTAAAGCCTTCAAGTTATTAACTCTATATTATAGTTTGACAAATAGCATTCTCTGCACATTTAATTAAACAACAGTGCATACTCTTTCCAGAGTCCTCAACTATGTGGTCCTTTTCTTACTGTTTTTATTCTGACATAAACCCTATCACTGAGTATGTATTACAAAAAAATCTCCAAATCCTTAGAATGACTTTTCATTTTATGTTGTCTTTTGGAACACACAAAGCTGTATTTTAATTAAAAATCTTTTATGCCACAACCTTGCTTTTCAAAGAAATCTTGCTGTGCCTCTAAATATAGTAGGAAACATTTATTGAGTGCTTAAGCCTAAGAGTCCAGTAAGCAAGAATTCCGAATCCTAAGAACCAACTGGGGTTAGGTACTATTATTTACAAATGAAGAATGTGAGGCACAAATAAATACCCTGACGTAATACAGAGAATCCCCTCTAGATATTCTTATGGATGCTTTAGTTTACTTTTCATATTAAGTTTCTAAAAGAAAGATCAGAAATTTGGTTTTAAGAGGTGAGACAGTGATCTAACCATCTCTCATAAGGACAGCCTGTGTATTAAAGCTTACCTTTTGCTAAGTCATAATGCCACTTCTGTCGCATAACAAATTCCTACTAAAGGTCTGATCACACGCATTCTGTTATTTGTTCACACTTAACATCAATGTAAGAAAATATTAATTACTACTGCTTTCTAGTTAGTCTTGATATTTGTCAGGGTGACCCCCCTTCCTTATTTTTCAGATGTGTAGTATTGCTGGTTACTTTAAGTTTAGCATGTTCTACAAAAATCCTATAGGATTTTGATTGGAAGTGCAATGAATTTATATTAGTTTATGGAGAACATATTTATGATATCAAGTACTCCGACTATGCAAATGAGTATTTCCATTTATTTATTATCTATTGATAAGTTGCATATTTTCTCCATAAAAAATCTTACATCTTGTCAAATTTACTTATTTCTCCAGGTATCTTGGTTTTTATTGTAAATGGGGACTTTAATTACACAAAAATATTACACTCAACACTCATGTACTTTCCATCTAGCTGTCATATCTTAGCATTTTGCAGTACTTGATCAGACATAAGAAATAAGATACGAATACAGCTAAAGCCCCCTATGTATTCCTCTTTGATAACATTTCCCTCCCTCTTGCTTCTCAGAGATTATCACTATCCTGATGTTCCCCCATGGTCATTTAACAGTTTTGCTACATATTGTATCCATACAATACAGTTCTGTACATTTTATAAATTTATATGAAAGTGTGATACTGTTCAGTCCATGCTGATACATACATAATCCTAAATCCTAGTTCATTCATTTTAGCTGTCACATGGCATTCCATTTTATGACTAGCACAGTTCACTGTCCATTCACTCTGGATGACTAGTTAGGTTTCCAATTTTCCTCTCTCACAACCTGCTATGAATAGGCTGGTATATATCATTTTATACCATGTAAAAGCTCTTCTAGGGCAGAAAATTTCAAACTTTCAAACTTTTTAACCAAAAAAAGTCCCACAGTGAAAAGTACATTTTACATGCAACCTAGTATATACACACACACTTTGCTAAAAAAGACATTTCACCATATGCTGCACTCTACAATTTCTCTAAACTGAGGGTCGCGAACCGTGAGTGGGCATGAAATCAATAATTCTAACAAATGTTTACACTAATGTAACCACAATCCCCAAAAAAACAACATTTCCAGCACCTCAGATGTCTCCCTTACGTTCCTTTTCAGTCAATCCACCTTCCCCCGTCAGGCAACTACTGACTTCTATTACTATTAATTTTACCTGTTCCAGAAATTCATATAGATGGAATTATACCGTATGTACTCTTCTGTGTTTTTTAACACCCTTTTGAAAGTTCTCTTGTATTCATTTCCTAAGAATTTTTGTCATGAACAAGTACTAAATGTTATCATATGCTTTCCCGTTGTCCATCAAAATTATCATATGGCCTTTCTCCTTTAATGTGTTAACATGATGAATTTCATTTACGAGTTTTCTAATGCTTAATCATCCCTACATTCCTGAGACAAACCCTAATTAGTCATGGTATTTTTGTTTTGAGTAAATACTAACATTTTACAAACTACAATTTTTATTGCCATGTTCTTTGGTGAGAATGCAGCCTATATCCCCTTCTCACACTATCTGGTTGGGGTATCAAGATTATAGTAGCCTTGCAAAATAATTTTTCTGTAACATTTTGTATAAGATTAGAGTTAATCCCTCACGTTTGGTTGCACTTGCCCATACGGGGTCTTCATTTGTAGTCTGGTGTTTTGCTTGAGGACTTAAAATTTTACATTGGTACAGGTATATTTATTTATTTATTTTGTTTTGTTTTGTTTTGTTTTGAGACAGAGTCTCACTCTGTCGCCCAGGCTGGAGTGCAGTGGCACGATCTTGTCTCACTGCAACCTCTGTCTCCTGGGCTCTGCCTCAGCCACCTGATTAGCTGGGATTACAGGCGACTGCAACCATGCTTGGCTAATTTTTGTATTTTTGATAGAGATAGGGCTTCACCATGTTGGCCAGGCTGGTCTCAAACTGCTGACTTCAAGTGATCGCCCACCTTGGCCTCCCAAAGTGGTAGCCACCATGCCCCGCCTGGTATAGGTATATTTCTAAACATGACTAAGTTTTTAAATCATAATCTAGTGAAGTTTCTAATTCTTATTAAGCCAACTTGGTAATTTGTTTTGCTAGAAATTGTCCACTTTACCTGTTTCCAAATTTAAAGAAATAAAACTGTTCACAGTATTCTTGCAGTTTTAAAATCTCAGTTTGTCTGCAGTTATACCATCCCTTCATTTCCAATACATTTGTACATTCTTTTTCTCCTCTATCAGTCTTGGCACTCTTTTCAACTTAGTTACATGCACTAAATCAAAGACACTATTTTTGTTGTTGTCGTTGTTGAGACAGAGTCTCGCTGACACTATTTTTGTTGTCGTTGTTGAGACGGAGTCTCGCTCTGTCGCCCAGCCTGGAGTGCAGTGGTATGATCTCGGCTCACTGCAACCTCTGCCTCCTGGGTTCAAGCGATTCCCCTTACAGAATGTATCTTCTGTAATTGTTGGGTGCTTGCTAATTGTACTCTTCCAATCCTTCATAACCTTGTAGTTTTTTAAATCTACCCTTTCATAAATTACTGAGAGGTATATTAAAATTTTCTACTACGATTATAGATTTGATTTATACCTGTAATTCTTCCAATTTTACCTTATAAATTACACCTAGTATATCTTTTCCATTCCTTTGCTTTTAAACTATGTCATCATACTTTTAGGAGTATCTCCACTTGTAAAATACAGTTGGTTGGATTTTTTAAATTTTTGTTCTCCTTTAGCCAGCAAGTTTAATCTGAGATTACATATTGGGTTTATGGAGATATTTCAGCTTATTTTCTACCATCTTATTTTGTGTTTTCTAATACCTATGCATTTTTCTTTTCTTTTTTCTTCTTCCCTGCCTTATACTGGAGTGATCAATTTCTCTTTATTTCCACCCCTCATCCCCACTGACTTGGAGTTATACGTTATTCTATTTCAATTCTTTTGGAGAGTTATTGGTAAAAAAATTTTTAATGGAAAACTTTAACTCATCATTGCATTGTAGATGAAAACAGCCTATTGAAAACCATAAAGAATTTTTTTTTTAAGATATGGGTTCTCCCTATGTTGTCTAGGCTTGAACTCCTGGACTCAACCAATCCTCCTGCCTCAGCCTCCCAAAGTGCTAGGATTACAGGCATGAGCCACCACGCCTAACCAAGGGAATTTTTAAAAACCAGAAACCTCATGAGGATAGGGAGAAGAGGTAAGGAGAAAACAGAAGCAAAATTTTAATGGCTGGAAAATGGGTGAGCAGTAATTGAACAGATCAGAAACTACTAACTCTAGGCTAGCTGTAGGAAAAGCTGAAAACCATTGATTAACACAGAAACCTCAAAAAGTTAAGGAACCAACAGCAAGTCACGGCAGGAACTGAGGGCCAGGCAGGGGAAGGAATAATAGGTAGCACTTGTTAAGAGCTTTGTAGAAAGGAATTCAGTTCTTAGATTTCCGCCCCTACTGTCTCTGGATAACTAATCCTCTGCCTCAACGTTTACTTTCTGCAAAGGGGAAAACAAAATCCCTGGACTAGGAGATGGCCTGGGTATAAGTAGGAAGAAAAGAGGGTGTGAATGAACATGAGCACGCTGTGTTAAATGTCGACTCCCAAACCCCTTCCTCCACTGGGTTTTGGCTCCCAAATACTAGCAGCCAGACCTCCGCCCAGTTATTCAGATCAAAAGACTTCACTAGGGTACCTGACCGACCCAGGAGGAAAGGCATATAGATGCTAATATTGGGAGTTTACCAACAAACAGCCTGCCTGCTCAGATCCCTCTCCAGTGAAACTGAAAGGAGACAAGTTTCACCCACATGTTGAGTTTTTGATCAGCTTTTTAGATCCCCACTTCTTAAGAATTACTTTATCTGAGGAAAAACGTCAAACAAAACCAGAAAAATTCAGCTTCAGGAAAAGACTATACAGAGAAAGAAAACATTTTTAAAACATCAACATGGCCAGAGAAATAAGACTGAGCAACCCTGAAGAAAGAGCAGCATGCTCTCAAAGGCAGCATTCAGAGAACTTAACAGCTCTTGCATAGCTTGACAGCAGAAACGGGGGAAAAAAATCAATAGAAGTGCTAGAAGATAAAGTAGAAGAAATCTTCCAGAAAGTAGAAAAGAAAGATGGGAAACAGTAGAGAAAATGAAAAAAATTGGAAGACTGGTTCCAGAGGTCCAATGTCCCAACAACAGTTCCAAACAGAGATGCAGAGTAGGGGAGTCAAATAGATAAATTAAGAAAAAGCCCCTGAACTGAAAGATGGGAGTTTCTAGATGGAAAGGGCCCATCAAGACCCCAGTAAAACAGATGAAAACAAACCTACATGAAGGCCCATGGTAGCAAAACCAGAATGCCAAAGACAAAGAAAGGGCTTAAAGTTTCCAAGGAGGAAAAAAAATAGGTTATATAGAAAACAATCAAAATGGCTTTGGTTTTGTCAACAGTATACTGTAAACAAAGTCAAGAGAGCAATGGCTTCGTAATTCTGGGCTTCATAATTTTTCAAAAAAAAATTTCCAACCTAGACTTATGTTAGCCAGAACAAAGGCATTTTCAGACATGCAACATCTCCAAGTATTTACCGCCCCACCCCCAACACACTCTCCAGGAAGGTCCTGAAGAATATGTCTCATCAAAAGGAGATACTAGTAAAACAAAAAGGAATACGATCTACACTCGAACCCAGGAGTGCAAGGCTGCAGTGAGCCATGATCACCCTACTACACTCCAACTAGACAACAGAGTGTGACCTTGTCTCAAAAAAAAAAATACACACACACACACACACACACACACACACACACACACACACACACACACAAAGAATAGGAGATCTAACAAAGAAGAAAAAATGAAGGCAATCCCTAATATGCTAGTGAGGGGGAAATCTCAGAATGACTGCGGCGTACTAGGTGTAGAGGCAACCAGTGCAAATCGGAGCAAGCTAAAAAAGACGAAGCCAAAACAACGGCAGCCTTCTCTCCAAAGTGAACACTGTAGAAGTCAATGGAAGCATAACCTTCACTGATTAGAGCCAAATGATAAATGGATGGGGGTGACTGATGGGGCCATAAAGAACAGCTTTGTACCACTCTTTACCAATATCTCAGCAGATTTCTGATTCCAAAGATTACAACGCAAAAGAAAAAAATTTTGCCTAAGTGGAATTCTTATGTTAGTACATGTTTATATATGTATGGATTTCTTTAGACCAGTGCTATCCAACAGAAACAGGATGCAAACCACATATTGTTAAATTTTCTATCAGCCACATTAAAAAAGTAAAAATTGGTGTGCTTTAGTCAGTTCAGGACGGTATAACAAAGTACTACAGACTAGGTGGCTTATAAACAACAGAAATTTATTTCTCACAGTTCCGGAGGCTGCAAGTCCGAGATCAGGGTACCAGCATGGTTAGGTTCCAAGTAAGGCCCTCTTCTGGGTTGCAGACTGCCGCTTTTTTCAGGTATCTACACATGGAGGACAGAATGCTAACAACGGTCTCTTTTATAAAGGCACTAATCCCATTCATGAGGGCTCTACCCTCCTGACCTCAATATCTCCCAAAGATCCCATTTCCTGATGCCATCACAGCGGGAATTACAAGATGAAATCATAATTTAATAATTTTATTAATCTAACCCAATATATCCAAAATACTATTTCAATTCGCAATCCGTATTAAAAACCATTGAAATATTTAACATTCTGTTTTTGTACTGTTAGAAAATTGGTGTGTATTTTATGCTTGTGGTCCATCTCAATTTCAAGAGCTCAATAGCCACATGGTGGCTAGTGGCTATCATACTGGACAGAGCAACTCTAGAAGGATAAACGAAAAGCTAGTAACAGTGGTTACATTTCTGGAAAGCACAACTGGGCAGCAGGAGGTAGGAGATGTAAAGGAGGCTTACTTTTTTCAGTATTTGCTATTTTGTTCTCCTTGACTTTTATACCATGTGCATGTGTTATTCGAAAAAATGAATAAAGTACATTCTCTAAAATAAATTACAAATGTAGATATTCTTTGAACTACTCCTAGAAATCTATCTTACAGACATACCTGCAAAGGAGCAAAATGCTATATAAACGAAGTTATTTGTTGTAGCATTGTTTTTAATACCACAAGACTGGAAACATTCAACAGAGGACTGATGATATATTCAGACACCCGGCCAGGCACAGTGGCTTACGCCTGTAATCCCAAAACTTTGAGGGGCCGTGGCAGGCAAATCGCTTGAGCCCAGGAGTTCAAGACAAATCTAGGCAACATGGCGAAACCCCACCTCTACAAAAAATTTTAAAAATTAGCTGGATATGGTAGGCATGCGCCTGCAGTCCCAACTACTCAGGTAGCTGAGGTGGGAGATTAACTTGACCCCTGGCAGTCAAGGTTGCAGTGAGCTGTGATCACACCACTGCACTCCAGCCTGGGTGACAGAGTGAGACACTGTCTCAAAAAAAAATTTACAGACACCCATACAAAAGAATATTATACAACCCACTACTCCAAAAAAGAAGAAAGGCATTCATTACATACTGACACAAAATAAGATGTACTATTAAGTGACATATGTGACCACTTGTACTAAAAGGTAATATACACACAAAATTGTTCATAGATGCATAAAATCTCTGGAACACCACACAAAAACCTAGTAAAGCTACTTGCCTTTGAAAAGGCAACTGTATGGCAAAGAACAGACCAGTAAAGAGACTCTTCACTGGGTATCCCTGAATTTTGGATTGCAGTCATGGATTATGTATACAAAAATTCACTATTCCACATGCAGCTGTAGATGTTTTCATGTACCCTGCCTTGCCTTGCTGTGATATTAAAGTCCATCTAAAGCCTACTGTTTTTCCAGTTCCTCCATAGAGAGGTCTGAGGCTTCTTTCTCCAAGAAGCCCCAGATGTTTCAATGATACCAGAACACTTTTCATTTTTTAATTTTTTTAAGCACACAGTTCCCACAGTTCTGTCTCCTTTCATTGAATGGCATTATAACCTCAGCCCCAACTACTGAATCTTATCTCTAGTAAATCCCCCAAGGCCACACTTCCCTTAAAGTTGACTGATTTTTCTAAGTTTCTAGTACCTGGGCACTTTCTCTCTCAAGATCAACTGTATACATAAGAGAAAACTTTTATATTTTATCCAACATTTTCATCTGTTTACAGTAAGAAGAATGGGCCTAACTTGTGTCTGTGT